>NC_000006.12:159010183-159161699 GCF_000001405.40 Homo sapiens | reverse complement strand
GCAGACAGATGTCCTCAGGCTGAGAGACACTCTGGCAAACACAGTTTAAAAATGTTAAATTTCTCATTCTGGGCTACTGGTAGTGAGACTAGCAATTTGTAAAAGGATATTTATGTATTGTCTCTAAGGTGAAGGAGGATAAATGCAAGTAATTTTGTAGCAAATTCAAATTTTTTTATTAATTAGTGATGCTTGCCCTGTTTGTTGTTTCTTTCATTCATTCAACAGTTAGACACTGAATGCCTTGCAATTTGCCAACATCATAACTTCTCTAATCAGATTGTGCAGCTGGTTGGGCAAATGCAGTATTAACCATCGCTCCCAGGAAAAACTCTCTAAACTCATATAATGTCATCAATCACCTTGGCCAACAGGTCATATTAGAAAGGCACCAACTGAGGGAGACTTCTCAGGCCATCTCCTTCTCTTCTAGTTCATGCTTGAACAATTACCCAAGTATGTGACAGGTTTTTTTGTTTTCAGAAAATTTGTGTTCTGTTTACTCCAAAACGTAGTGACTAAAAACAATAATTGTACATTATCTTTCTCAGTTTCCCAGTGTTAGGAAGCTGGAAGTGGCCTGGTTGGGTAGGTCTGGCTTGGAGGTCCCTCATGAGTTGCATGGGCTTGGGCTGTCATCATCTGCAGGCTTGACTGGGGCTGGAGGATCCACTTCCTGGCTAGTTCACTCTGGGCTGGCAAGTTAGTGCTGGCTGCAAGATGGGGCCTCAGTGGCTCTCCACAAAGCTGTTTGAATATCTTCAGAGCATGGCAGTTGGCTTTCCCTGGAGCAAGTAATGCAGGAGTCCAAGGCAGAAGTGCAATGCCTTTTCAGACCACCCTCAGAAGTCACCCACTGTCACTACCACCATATTCTATTGGTGACACAGACCAGCCTTGATTCAACATGGGAGTGGACTATACAAACGGCATGAAGACCTTTGGTGGATCATAGAGGACCAACATGGAGACTTACTGCCACAGGCTGACACCGCAACAAGACCCCTGCTTTCTTGCATATTTTCCAGCTCACTGAACCAAATGATTTGTTTTCCTTTGACTCTCCTCTGGGCTCACTCACCTTTGTTCTAGCTGAGGCTTTGCTGCTGGGGAAGGTACACACTTGCACAGCCCTCTCAGGCCTGCTCCAGGTGGGTCATGATGATTGTAAGTTTCCTAAGGTCTCCCCACCCATACTTCCTGTACAGCCTGTGGAACTGTGAGTCAATTAAACCTCTTTTCTTTATAAAGTACCCACTTTCAGGTATTTTTTATAGCAGTGCAAAAATGGACTAATACAACAGTCCTCTGCAAGAAGGCAATTCTGCTCCTCTAGGCCTTTTCCCCCTTATTTACACCCTGGCCTGTGATGCCTCTCTGTCAGTGTGTCCCTGTTCTGTGTCCCTGAGAATATTTTAAAACTAGAGTATAGCCAGGCATGTTGGCACAAACCCATAGTCCCAGGTACTCAAGAGGCGGAGGCAGGAGGATCGCTTGAGCCTAGGAGGTCAAGGCTGCAGTGAACAGTGGCCATGCCACTGCACTCCAGCTTGGAGGACAGTGAGACCCTGTCTCAATAAATAAATACATAAATGCATAAGACTAGATTATAACCTTATTTGATTTTACAGCATGTATCCTTCTATGTTCATAAAATATGACATACATCGCAGCTCATAAATCCTTTGCAGCAGCCCATCCAGGACAGACTCCATTTGCAGCCTCATTTCATTTAACGG
This sequence comes from Homo sapiens, assembly GCF_000001405.40. Taxonomy (NCBI): domain Eukaryota; kingdom Metazoa; phylum Chordata; class Mammalia; order Primates; family Hominidae; genus Homo; species Homo sapiens. Next base: position 159,159,960 of record NC_000006.12, on the reverse strand, counting down.
GACCCCCTGTGCAGCGTTTGCAGATGGAGACAATGCAGGATTTCCCTCTTTACTGCTCTGATAGATCACCCCTCCTCTGCACGCTGTCACATACTTCCCTTGGCCTGGAAGGCCCCCACTCATTTTTCCCTCACTTAATCAGTTTACTCCAACAATGTTTTACATGTATTCAAATCTTTTTTTTAACTTTTTTTTTTTTGACAGAGTCTCACTCTGTCGCCCAGGCTGGAGTGCAGTGCCGCGATCTTGGCTGCTGCAACCTCCGCCTCCCCAGTTCAAGCAATTCTCCTGCTTCAGCTCCCTAGTAGCTGGGATCACAGGCACACGCCACCATGCCCAGCTCATTTTTTGTATTTTTAGTAGAGGCGGGGTTTCTCCATGTTGGCCAGGCTCGTCTTGAACTCCTGAGTTATTGCCTCCACTTCTTGAGAACCTGGGACTATGCATTTGTGCCAACATGCCTGGCTATACTCTAGTTTTAAAATATTGTTAGGGACACAGAACTCCTGACCTCAGGTGATCCGCCTGCCTCGGCCTCCCAAAGTGCTGGCATTACAGGCATGAGCCACCACACCCAGCTGCATTTATTCAAATCTTATGCCACTTCACATAGTTTATAATCACATGTCCTTCCTCCTGACTTCATTGCAAACTCCCACACCTATTTGTTACCCATAGAACTACTAAGAAAGCAGAGAATACACTGGGCCTTAGCAAAGCATTTTTAAATATCTTCAATGAATTTTTCAACAAACACTCATGGGATGCCTACTACTCGTTGAGCACGGTGATAAATACTGAAGGTACCTGAGGAAGAAACAGTGTCTGGAATTATTTTTTAGATGAATAATATTTTGGTATCAACAAAGTACAAGGCCCAATCATGTATTATTCACTTAAAAGTATGACTTATCTGTATGAATTAATAAATTTATTATCAAAAAAAGGTTGAAATATAGCAATGTGGTTGCTTTGTGAGATGGTTTGGCTCTGTGTCTCCACCCAAATCTCATGTCAAATTGTAATCCTCAGTGTTGGAAGAGAGGCCTGGTGGGAGGTGGTTGAATCATGGGGGCAGATTTCCCCCTTGCTGTTCTCATGATAGAGTTCTCACAAGATCTGCTTGTTTGAAAGTGTATAGCACCTCCTTCTTCTCTCTCTCTTCCTCCTGCTCTGGTCACGTGAAGATATGCCTCCTTCCCCTTCGCCTTCCGCCATGATAGTAAGTTTCCTGAGGCCTCCCCAGCCATACTTCCTGTACATCCTATGAAACTGTGAGTTAATTAAACCTCTTTTTTAAAAAGAATAAATCACTTAGTCTCAGGTAGTTTTTTATCCAGTGCAAGAACAGACTAATACACTTTGCATATTGCAAGAACTAGCAAACTCCTAAACAAGACTAATTCATTAAGCTGAAAATTCTTTTCATGCAGTTGTTTGCTTGGTTTACAGCCTAGCACAAAAATGTCACTGAAGTATATTTTAAACGGCAAGATGTCTTGTTTTAACTGTTGGCAAGAAATAAAATATGCCAAGTATCAAATATCACAAGGAAACTTGAAACTGCTAGGCCACCATATCAGATTATTATTACAGGTTCTCCAAGAAGAGAAACTCACCAGGATTCTCAAACTAGGAAGGAGAATCTACATGGCAAGCATGGCCCCCCATCCAGGGACTGAAGGATCCACTCCCCACATTACCTGTCCCTACCTTGCTGTGATGCCCTGAGCCCTGAGCTTCCCGTCATTCATTCAAGATTCTCTCTCTGGCTTATTTGGGTTTGTTTTCCTCTTTACTGAAACTCAAATCAGTAAGAGGAATCAGCCACTGAGTATATCCACCTCCAGTCACACTTTCCATCTGCAAGTCTGCCAGGAGCAGCTGGGTGAAATTGTGTAGCTGTGACCATCTCAGACACTTCTCCACTGTGCTCCTTTCAAAATACTTAGGATCCTATGAGTGTATTTCATCTTTATGTCAAAAAATTATTCGAGATAGGGTTGGAGTGAACAGAACAGAGGATTGACTACAAAGATGAAACAGAACCTGACTTCAAAAAGCAGCTTCAGAGGAGCAGGACAGAGAGATAAGAGAGGAAAAGGAACTGTAAGACGAAGTAATTAATTCCCAAGAACAGGATATGTGTGTAGGTATGTCTACATACATACACATATAGATATACATACATATTCATACTCATACACTGCCTAATGCACAGGAGACATAGGGCAGACAGGAGACACGTTCTGGTGAGGAGATCAATGACAGGAGTTTTGGAAGAGTCAGTGTTTGAGCCAGACCTTGCAGGAAAGATAATAACCAGGGGAAACGGAGATGACAAGACAGTTTCATCACTGAGACCAATGCAAGGAAGGTAAAGGAGAGAGTTAAGAAGTGGAGTTGGCTGGACTGGAGGATGCATGAAAGGGATTAGCAGGGGACAGGGTTTTAAAGATGGGATAGAGCTCATAATAGAAAAACTTAAAGGCAGGACTGGGGAGTTTGGGTTTACTCTGAAGGCAAGAGGAAGCCACTGAACAGAAAAGTATATCAACTATTTCTCACAAAGGAGCAGTGAGGTATTAGTGAGACAACCTAATGGCAGTATCTTCAAAAAGATGACAAACCATACAAACCTAAGGGATTTACACTATAAAAATCAGACTTGCGCTCCAGAAAGCTTAATTAAGCAGCTAGCTGCAGGATTGGTTGGCAGGAGGAAAGAATCAAGGGAGAGAAGGAGTTAAGAGGCCATTAAAATAATCCCAGTGAGAGGTCAAAAAAACCTGATTGAGGGCTTCATCAAAGAAACAAGTTCTTAGACAAGATACTGTGGAGGTAGAATTAACAGAATGTGATATATGTGTGATGGGGCATTGAGGGGTCTTTGGGCTTACCGCAGACAGAGACTAAATCTCAGCACCTCTGACCCCCACATCAATCTGTGCTCCTGCCGGACGTGGTGGCTAACATCTGTAATCCCAGCACTTTGGAAGGCAGAGTGGGCAGATCACCTGAGGTCAGGAATTTGAGACCAGCCTGGCCAACATGGTAGAACCCCATCTCTACTAAAAATACAAAAAAATCAGCCAGGCATGGTGGTGTGTGGCTGAAGTCATAGCTACCTCGGAGGCAGAGGCAGGGGAATCACATGAACTCAGAAGGTGGAGGTTGCAGTGAGCCAAGATCTTGCCACTGCACTCAAGCCTGGGCAACAGAGCGAGACTCTATCACACACACACACAAAAAAGTCTGGACTTCTGAGTGTTCTAGGTCAGACACATCTTCTGTCGCTAGCAAAAGCAAACAGAACACCTCTTTGGAGGAAAACCCCCTCAATTTAGGCCCTCAGGATTTCCACAGCTTAAGATCAATAGAATATGAGATCATAAACCCTCAAAGAAATAAACACGATGAGAAGAGCCAGCCAAAACAAGATACGGCTCCCAGGTTTTCCAGATACTAGTATTTATTAGATTCAAAATATAAAATAATACATGACATGTTTAGAAAAATAAAAATAAAATAAAAAACAAATAACGTTTTGAGCAGAAGCTTAATATAAATTATAAATGAAAAATATTACCATGGGTAATAAAAGCTCAGTGGATGGCTAAATAGTAGATTAGATATGGTAGAAGAGAAAATTTGGGAACTGGAAGACTAGTTAGAAGAAATTACTAAGATTATAACACAGAGATACAGGGAAATGAAAAATATGAAGAAGTAAAAAGTTATGAAAAATAGAATTAATAAGTCTAGCACATGTCCAGTCAAAGTCTCAGAAGAAAAGTATTGACAGAATAGAGAAGAGATAATATTCAAGGGAATAATGGCTGAGGACTGATAAAAGATGTAAATCCACTGATATAGGACACACAACAAATACCAAGCCAGATAAATATGACAAAATCCAAGTACATTGTATTGAGGTTAAGAACACAGAATGTAAAAAAGGTGATTAAAAGCAGCCAAAAAGTAATGAAAGAACACCTGCAAAACGACTATAGTTAACAGCAGACTCCTCAACAATAGGCTGAAGATGGTGGAATATCTTCATACTTCCCAGAGAAAATAACTGCAAGCTTAGAATTGTATACCCAGCAAAATTATCTTTCAAGAATTAAGTAAAATAAAGGCATTTTCAGATAAATAAAATTTGAGAGTACTTATTACCTACAGACCTCTACTAAAGGAACTTCTGAAAGTACTTCAGGAAGAAAAGACTGACCTCAGAATAAAGGTCTGGGATGCAAGGAGAGAAATGGCGGACAAAGAATTGTGGAAATGTGCAGGTAAATCTAAACAAAGACCAATTGTAATTTGAGAGTACTTATTACCTACAGACCTCTACTAAAGGAACTTCTGAAAGTACTTCAGGAAGAAAAGACTGACTTCAGAATAAAGGTCTGGGATGCAAGGAGAGAAATGGCAGACAAAGAATTGTGGAAATGTGCAGGTAAATCTAAACAAAGACCAATTGTACAGTATAATTTTTAAAGGCTTAATCATAGAGTTTGAAAAGAAGACAATACACAAAGTATGTGGTTTTTTGTTTGTTTGTTGTTTGTTTTTGAGACAGAGTCTCTCACTCTATTGCCCAGGCTGGAGTGCAGTGGTGCAATCCTGGCTCACTGCAACCTCTGCCTCCTGGGTTCAGGGGATCCTCCTGCCTCAGCCACTCAAGTAGCTGAGATTACAAGTGTGTGCCACCACGCCTGGCTAATTTTTGTATTTTTAGTAGAGACAGGGTTTCATCATGTTGGCCAGGCTGGTCTCGAACTCCTGACTTCAAATGATCCGCCCACCTTGGCCTCCCAAAGTGCTGGGATTACATGCATGAGCCATCATGCCCAGCCAAAGACAATACACAAAAGATGAGAATGAAAAAGAATGAAATCAGTTGGGTGTGTGTTGTTAAGCATGTGCAAATGAATTTCTATTGTTCAGCAGGGAAAATGGAAAGTAAACTGTATAGTTTTTTCATTAAGTATGGCAAAATTTTAAGAGTAACAACTACAAAATATAGTGTCTAACTTCTAAATAAAGAATAGGATTTCAACATTCCTTCTTCAGTTATTGGTAGATAAACCAGATCAAGTAGCAGAGTATAGAAAATTTGAACCGAACAATTCCAAAGCTTAGTTTAAGCTTGGTTTAATGGTCATATATAGAATACACACTGTTCTCAAGCACACATGGAACATTTATAAAAATTGGTTATAAATTAGGCTATAAAAAAGCCATATCAAATTTCAAAAAAAAAATTATACATCTAGACTATGTTCTCTCACTATAGTGCAATGAAGTCAGACTTAAAAATCAAAATTTAAAATATATTTTCAGAAATCAAACATAGACAAAATCATAACACAAACTTTTAAATGCTCAGAACTGAACAATAATAAATCTTGTACGTATCATAACTGGTAGGATATTGCAAAAGTAGAAAATATATAGCCTTAATATTTATATATGAGGGAAATATAAAGCCTTAAATGTAAGGCTATATATTAGCCTTAAATATACCTTGTATTTAAAAATAAAGGATTGAAAATAAGCTGAATACCCCGTTAAAAAGTTAGGGGAAGATAACAAACTCTTTTTTTTAAAAAAAAAAAGGAAGGAGATAATTAAGATACTAGCAGACATTAGTGAAAAGGAACACAAAGGTACCATGGAGGGCGTAATGCAAAAAAAATGGTTCTTAGCTAAGACTAATATAATTGCCATATATTTAATGATATTTATTTTTTAAAAAGATAGAATGCACAAATGAAGAGTAGTAAGATTTAAAGAGACACAACTACACAAACAGTAGATATTAAAAAGAAAAGGCCAGGCGTGGTGGCTCTTGCCTGTAATCCCAGCACTTTGGGAGGCCGAGGGGGGCGGATCACCTGAGGTCACGAGTTGGGTTAGAGACCAGCGTGACCAACATGGTGAAACTCCACCTCTACTAAAAATACAAAAATTAGCCGGGCGTGGTGTCACATGCCTGTAATCCCAGCTACTTGGGAGGCTGAGGCAGGAGAATTGCTTGAACCTGGGAGGCAGAGTTGCAGTGAGCGGAGATCACACCGCTGCACTCCAGCCTGGGCAAAAAGAGTGAGACTCCATCTTAAAAAAAGGAAAAAGAAAAAGAAAAGAAGATTGCTATGAATTATCATACTTATTTTGTCTACCTATCATAATTACCTCATCTGCTTATCAAATGTTATGTTAATAAATTTGAAAATTCATATAAAATAAATAAATTCCTGGAAAATTATAACCTACAAAATTTGACTTTAAAACAATGGGAATGACCAATCGGTCCTGCAATTATTAAAGAAATGTAATTAGTAGTTTAAAATCTTCCTATAAAGAAAATAGAAGGCCCAGAAAACTTTATGGACAAATTCTAAAAACCTTTCAATAAAAATTGTTCCAATCATCTGGAAAGATTAGAACATTTCATTTAGAAAAACTAAACAATCCCCTTGTAGCATTCTTGTGAGGTTAATATAGCCTTGATGCCAAAACCAGACAAAGATGATATGATGAAGGAAAATTACAGACGATTAACTGATAAACATTGATACAACAATTCTAAACAGCATTAACAACCAAATGCAGCCAAGTCTAATCTTGTCCAAATTTGCTCTATCCCAGGAATTCAGAAGAGGTTTAATATTAGAATAAATGTAATTTACCACATTTAATAGAATGATAGAGAATAACCATACGGTCTTCTCATTTGACGCACAAAAACTATTTGATAAAATTCAACATCTTAAAAAAAATTCTTAAACTGAAAACACAAGAGAGATTTCATAAACTGATGAATAGCATCCACAAAGAACCAAGGGCAAACATCACTCTTAATTGTGAAATATGAGAAGCATGGATGTCCACTATCCTGAGGTCTATTCCACACTGGAGGCCTTGGCAAGGAGCTTTTATCTATTTCAGGCCTTTGGCAGTTTCTCCTTCTGTCCGTTGCATTGCTTGGCACATGAAAGACAATCTTTTCCACGTATCTTAGTAACAAAACAACACAACTTTATTTACTTAAGTAATCTTCCTTTCTGAGATCCTATAAAACATCCTGTAACCATATGGGGGTTATTGATTTAATTTTGCTTCATATATTTATTGACATTACATTACCATTATTTATTGGCTGTCAAAGATTTTCAGCAACACTCCTATGCAAAACCTTGAAAAGTCCTCGTTTCAATACTATGAATCTCTCTCCTCTGGACAATTTCCATTTTCTTTTAATCTCAACCAAGGTAGGTGAAGTGAGGAGACAAAAATCAAATGTGTAAATGTTTTCCTTTATTCATTTTACAGGAAATGTTTCAAGAAGTTGGGTGTGGGCATGGCTTCATCTCTTCACACTGTCTCCAGTACACACAGTTGTTGGTGATTGTGTACTCGCTGTGGTTCATCTTTACTTATGTTCATCTTTGCTTTATTTAGATTTTCCAAAAATCACCTAGACACTTTTTTCCACACAGGCAAGGAGCCCTCTGTGCACACAGGACATTACTTTAGTGATGTTACTTGCCCAGTTAGAGAATCTGAGTTCTTTTTCACATGCCTTCAATTCAAATCACAAATTATGCTACTTTTACAGATGGTTTACCTAAGAATAAAGTAATTGGCAAACATGATGTTAATTAAAGGAGCTTTTTGTATCATGCCTGTCCATTCTTTTGCTGGTATTTGCTGGTGATGTCATTATTTACAGTTGCTAAGGTGATCATGTAAGAATGCTTGGTTTTGGAATACTTAGTGTCCAAGTTTGTGGCTCACATCCTTACGAATCACTTCACTTATAAATGAAATTAATTTGACACTAGATCATTTTATCAGTTATGCCTCTGGCAAGTTAATATAAACCAGTTGTTTTTTTGGCAATAATAAATAATTTATTTGTTGGCCAACCCACTACAGCAAGCAGCATTTCTCTCACTTGGAAGTAAGCAACATCACTCTATCGGGAAATTGAAGTGGTATTGTATTAGGAAGATTGAATAGAGGAGACTCTCTGTTCATAACACAACAGAACTATTTAAAACAAATCAAAATAAAAATGAAGCCCAGACGCTTCCAATTGTGGGTAGAAATACAAATGCTACCTCCGATTGGAAGACAATTAGAGGTATTTGTCAAAATACTAAACGAACATATCCTTTAGATCATTGGCAAACAATAGAGACACACTCCGGCTAAATGAAGTAAAAAACAAACAAAAAACTCAGGATATTTGAAAAATATGGAAGAGCTCCCTGGATTAAAGAAAAGGCTGAATAACAAGGTCTCCAGAAAAACAAGATCAGAAAAGCTCTAGGGCAGAAACAGTTGCCAATTTCTCTAAGGCACCTCTTTCTGGACAAATCATTTCCAATAATTTTCCATTTTTGTGTTTCTTAAAAATTCAAGTTCCCAGGAGGAAGCATCTGATTGGGTTAGTTTGGGTGGCATGACCTCCCTTCTCCACAAGAGGGCGGCGTACAGAGTTTTCTGGACGCCGGACAAGCACAAACCACATGGATTTGTGTCAACAGAAAAGCAGAAGACAAAAATTAGAGATATTTTCTTATTACATCTCCATTTCCCCCAAAAGAAAATGGAGGTGTTATTATCAGAAAGAGAGAGAATGGAAGACAGGCAGATAAAAACAACACTTGCTCAATCTTCTTTGCAATATAGCAGTTCCACTCCAGTGACTTTTCAGACCGCTGGTAGAAGTCCAACTTGCTACCTCAGATATAAAGAACATGTTCATTTAATATTTTGACAAATCCTTCTAATTAGAGAACAATTAGAGGGATTGGGGACATTCAGAACCAACACTGGTTTCATCACGTGTTTTATGATCCCACCCCCTCTGCACCTGTCCTGGGCTGCTTGAAACACCTATTCACCCTTAAAGACTCAGCCCAAGGTTTACCCGCTTTGAGAAACCTTTATATCACTGGCAAACAATAGAGACACACTCTGGCTAAATTAAGTAAAAAACAGAAAACACGCAGTGTTCAAAGAATATGGCTGTCACACAGATGATGGATAGTATTTTTGCAATATTACTTTTAATAATAAAAGTAAAAAGAATACAGAGTCACATCAATAAAGCAGTAGTTAAGTAAAGTATTGTCCATCCAGACTGTAGAATTCTGAGAGCCACTAAAGTCAATGGACTGAAGTTACACGGATGCAGGAAGCTCTCGAATGCATATCAGCAGGTGGATAAAGGAAGTTTCAGAAGAGCTTGTGAAGCCTAAACATGTTTCTGTAGAACTATAAAGGATACACATTGAACAGGAAAACTCATGAGATCTAATAAGGAAACTTCCTTATTTTTATCTTTCACTGTTTCTTTAAAATATGTACAGTGGGAGTGGGAAAAGTTCTTCCCGACTCAGGGAGGAAACTCAGGCAGTGTCACGACTCCTGTGAATTTGTGAGTAATAAATAAATTCTAAGGTTGCTCTAAGTTAGAAACACTGTGTCAATTCCGTGACTAAAAATGTCAAATCCTATGTAATAGGCTGGGCGCAGTGTCTCATGCCTGTAATCCCAGCACTTTGGGAGGCCGAGGTGGGCGGATCACCAGGTCAGGAGTTCCAGACCAGCCTGGCCAACATGGCGAAACCCCATCTCTACTAAGAATACAAAAATTAGCTGGGTGCGGTGGTGCATGCCTGTAATCCCAGCTACTCAAGAGGCTGAAGCAGGAGAATTGCTTGAACCCGGGAGGTGGAGGTTGCAGTGAGCTGAGATCACGCCACTGCACTCCAGCCTGGGCGACAGAGTGAGACTCTGTCTCAAAAAAAAAAAAAGTCGTATGTAATAGTAAAAATTCCAAAGGATTTAAAATTGGATATTCTGCCACCGCCCAGCTGGAGCCCGCTGTACCTGGAAGACTGCAGAGTGCGAAGCCTTCTCTTCTTTCCTTTGATTTTTCCAGACCCTTCCAGAGTCAAGGTAGGAAAAGGAGTAGGAAGAACAGGAACAGGAATGTTCTTGCCCAGCTGGAAATGTTTTAGGCTTGCTTCACTCTCATGCGTGCCTCTGTGAGTTTCTAGAGGCCTCTCTGGGAAATATTCCACAGGGCTTTACATGATGCTGGCTGAATGCTTGCTTCAGATGGCTGGCGCCTTCCCTGCTCTTCTTCAAGAGTCTCACCCACGTGGATTCTCAGGGTTGGCAATCCCATTAGAATTTAGTCCCGTGAGATGCGTTTTGGGCTTCTGGCCTCCAGAATTGTAAGAGGAAACATTTGTGTTGTTTGAAGCCCCTGCGATTGTAGCAATGTGTTACCGCAGCAAGAGGGAACATGCACCTAGACTTGGGAACCTCCTGTATTTCTCAGACCCCTTGCATTTAGCTCAGTGGGGAATGTGACTGAGTTTGAGTTCTGGCCAGTGGAGTGTAATGAAAGTGGCATACATTACTTCCAGTCCTGGCTGGTAAAACATCCACAGGACTGTCCATGCTTCTGGTGGTCAGCCTGTAGAATGGAGAAAATCCAGCAGCAGACTCTGAGGCCCTTGGGGACAGCCGAGCTAACAGGAGGAAGGACCCTAAGTCCCAAAACACCCCTCACTCTGTCCTGCATTACAATCTGATATGAACAAGAAATACACCTTATTATAGTAGGTCACTTAGATCTTGGGACTGTTTGTTAAAATAGCTAATGTTTAATCTACTTTGAACACCCAGAATTCTATTTCTTAAATGGTAAGAAATACATAAGAGCAAACTTTGGTTGAACTTGACCAAACTACTTTAGGCCAGTTTATTTCCCAGTTTACTTCCCAATAGCTCAAATATCTACGACGGGTAAATCCACACATGATCTCCTAAACCTAAGTGTTTTAGCCAGAAGTGGGCAGTGAACAATGCCAGTTGTCTTCTCATACAAGTTGTATTAGTCAGTGTTCTTCAGAGGGGCAGAACTAATAGGATAGATGTGTATATAAAGGGGAGTTTATTAAGGCGTATTGATTCACACCATCACAAGGTGAGGTCCCACAACGGGCCGTCTGCAAACTGAGGAGCAAGGAAGCCAGTCCAAGTCCCAAAATCTCAAAAGCAGAGAAGCCGACAGTGCAGCCTTCAGTCTGTGGCCAAAGGTCCAAGAGTTCCAAAGCTGAGGAATTTGGAGTCCAATGCTCAAGGGCAGGAAGCATCCAGCACGGGAGAAAGATGGAGGCCAGAACACTAAACCAGTCCAGTCTTCCCACGTTCTTCTGCCTGCTTTATTCTGGCCAAGCTGGCAGCTGATTAGAAGGTGCCCACCCAGACTGAGGGTGGGTCTGCCTCTCCCAGTCCACTGACTCAAATGTTAATCTCCTTTGGCAACACCCTCACAGACACACCCAGGAACAATACTTTGCATCCTTCAATCCAATCAAGTTGACACTCAATATTAACCATCACACAAGTACACTGGGTCCTCATTATTCATGGTTCTGATTTGCGAATTAGCCTACTTTATAGAATTGAATTGTGACCCCAAATCAGTGCCCATGGTGCTTTCGAGGTCATTCTCAGACATGAGCAGAGTGGTGCAAAATATGAATCACCCAACTGGCACGTTCTCGGCTGAAGTCTAACAAGGTGACACCCTGCCTTCTTGTCCCAGCTCTGACAGTGTAAACAAGTGTCCTTTTCACTATTTCTTTACCGCTATGGTTTTCACAATTTTTGTGGTCATTGTTGGTGATTTCGCTGTTTAAAATGGCCCCCAAGATCGTGCTGAAGTGCTGTCTAGCGTCCCTAAGTGCAAGAATGCAGTGCTGTGCCTTATGGAGAAAATACGTGTGTTAGAGAAGCTTCATTCAGGCGTGAGTTACAGCGCTGTTGGCAATGAGCTCTATGTTAATGCATCCACGACGTATGTTAAATAAAATGTCTTTAAACATAAACACACACTTAGAAAAGGGTATATATTGATGGCTTGATGAAAATGTTGTGATCAGCGATTCACGGGAACCTAACCCTGTATTTCCCCCAGGAGCCAAGCTTCAGTATTTGCTAATTCAGTGTTCATAGCAAATGTATAAACCATAACTACCACGCATAACGATAATAAGCTGTACTTTAGTTTTTGATAGTTTGCAATTCAGAGAAAAGATGACCTATTCTGATTTTTAAACTTATAATGGAAAAGTCTACACTCTCCTTAGGAAACCTCTCTAATTTCAAACTTCAGCTATAATCCACAAAGATGGTTTATGATATGCTTTGGATTTGTGTCCCCACCCAAATCTCATGTTGAATTGTAATCCCCAATGTTGGAGGAGGGGCCTGGTGGGAGGCGATTTGATCATGGGGGCAGATTTCCCCCTTCCTGTTCTCATGATAGTGAATGAGTTCTCGTGAGATCTCATTGTTTAAAAGTGCATAGCATCTCCCCCCTGCTCTCTCTTCCTCCTGCTCCAATCGTGTAAGACACGCCTGCTTCCCCCTCACCTTCTACCATGTTTATAAGTTCTCTGAGGCCTCCCCAGCCATGCTTCCTGTAGAGCCAGCAGAACTGTGAGCCAATTAAGCCTCTTTTCTTTATAAATTACCAAGTCTCAGATAGCTCCTTATTTCAGTGTGAGAACAGACTAATACAGTTTATATTTTCAGCCCCAATCTTTCCTTTGAGTTCAGCTCCCCTTCTCCAGCTTCCTACCGGGTATTTGCACTTGAATTTCCTATTATTATCAAAATCCAAATGGCAATACCCCATGTAATTTTCGCTGTTCTCTCTGAATCCCAGTCCCATAACCATTAACACCTTCTGTTTCCATTAATGGTCCTCCATTTTCCAAAGCTCTTAGGTACGGAAATCTTAGGCACTATCTCACCTTACCTAGCCAATCCATCACAAGTCCCCTTGGTTTTAATTGCAGAATCTCTTACCCTTTCATTCCACTGTTACTCCTACCACCCTAGTCAGGTTCCTCTTACTTCATACCTAGGTAAGTGTGATTGCATTCTAACTGAAGTCCCTTTCCAGCTCTCCAGATCATCCTGTACCTTAGTATAAGACTGACCTTCCTAAAACACATTTCCAACATGTCGTATGTCTGAGTTGACATTTGCCTCCACTCCTATAATTTTACCTACTGTCTATCTGGTCTAGTCCCGCATTTGCGCTGGCTATTCCATGGGTCCCTGAAACCCAGCACATTCCGTCAGCATGCATTATCTATTCTCCCTGTTCTTCCCCAGGCTGAGATTGCTGACTGATCACCAAACCCACTTCTACCGCTACTAATAAACATAGGAAGAAAGGTTTTTAAACGTTCTATAACATGTTTATATGAACTATTCAAGGATTAACTTCTAAAATGACACAACAAAAAGGCCCTCACCCGATGCTGGTACCTTGATCTTGGTCTTCCCAGCCTCCAGAAGTGTAAGCCAATTAATTTCTGTTTATTATAAATTACTTAAGCTCAGGTATTCTGTTATAGCAGCAGAAAATGGACTATATTTCCCAAATAGATTAAATATTTGGAGCCAGAGTATAAGAAATCATTAGAGTCAGGTTTCATTTGGTTTAAATTTATAGTCAAGACTAGTCAAAATTTTACTAGAGATGCAAGAGTTCCCTGAGATATCAATTACCATCAGTTATGGTGTACTCAGTGTTTGTTGTTCCTTGAAAGAGGGAAAATGTAATTGAAGGGTAATAACTCAAATACAAAGGAGAAGTAAAGGTGCAGAAAGTAGTGGGAGGGTCAGATGTTCTAAAGGCTATTTTTATGTACTTCAAAGCCCACCTTTATAGCAATTACCGCTGCTGCATACAGCTGCAAAGATTGCTCAAGAGGCTTCATTCCAAATACATTCAGTGCATATTTCATTTTAGTGAAACAAAAATAATCTAGTCTTTTAGTCTACTATGTTGTGAGTCCCTGAGGACAAGAAGAGAATTTTCGTCATCTTTGTATCCACAGCCTATAACAGTTTCCCCACAATTTGGAGGTGTTCAATAAAATGTTTGGGCATAAACAAAATCTCACAAATTATTAGGTGGAGCCAAACCTGTACCAAACAATAAAACCAAAGTTTTCCATGACTTAGTCATTAAAAAGAAAAATAAATGAACAGTGACTTAAGATGAATATAAGAATATAAGGTAGAGTCAAACCTGGTAGCTCACGTCTGTAATCCCAGTAACTCAGGAGGCTAAGGTGGGAGGATTGGTTGAGACCAGAAGTTTGAGATCAACTTGGGCAACATAGTGAGACCCATCTCTACAAAATATATTTTTTAAAAACTAGCCAGGCACCATGGTGGTGTATGCTTGTAATCCCAGCACATTGGAAGATCAAGCAGGAAGATTGCTTGAGCCCAAGAGTTCAAAGCTACAGTGAGCTATGATTGTGCCACTGCACTTCAGCCTGGACAACAGAACAAGACCCCATCTCAAAAAAAGAATATAAGGTAAATAAACAAAATTAATGCTTTTCCCATGTATATTAACAATAATCTATTACAGATTAAAATATAAAAGATTCCCTTTATAAAAGCAATCAACTCATACATTACCTAAGAATAATTTTATTGTTTAATGAGACCTAAAATGGAGAACTATTGATCTTTATCTAGAACCTTTAAAAAAGGGCTTAACTAAATGAAGAGATACTTTCTTCATCAAATATAAATTGCCATAGATGATAAGATGTACCATTATTGTATATAACACTAAGAAATAAAACACTGCCAATTAAGTTATGAAACATCATCTATTGTAAATAAATCCTAATTTCAAACATGTTATAATGTGGGGGCAGGGGAAGTTTCTGAGCCTCAGTGAAATATATTATGTTCTAAAATACTCAGACCGAATATGATAAAGATATTGATTCTTTCCAAATTAAAGTATGAGTTAAATGTACTTCTGATGGGACCATAAATTGTAACCTATCAAAATATTTAAGTAAATTTTTACATATTCATTAACATGTAGCAAGAGACTTAAGATGTTTACTATATTTAATTTCTGTGAATTTTAAGGAATAATCAGATTTATGCAAAAAGATGTCCACTCCACCACTTGAAAAGTGGAAAATTAAGTCTGGGCAATGTAATGAAACCCCATCTTTATCAAAAAAATTAGCTAGGCATGGTGGCATGTGCCTGTAGTCCCAGCTATTCCAGTGGCTGAGGTGGGAGGATCACTTGAGTGTGGGAGGTTGAGGCTGCGGTGAACTGTGCTCACACTATCACACTCCAGCTTGGGTGACAGAGTGAAACCCTGTCTCAAATAAAAAAAAAAAGAACCTAAAAATCCAATAATGGGGGGATGATAGTATAAAATTTAGTACATGTATCTGATTACATATTTAGCTATTAAAATTCAGTTTATACATAATTTTTAAAGACATGAAAAATATATAAAGGTATAAAGTTACAAATAAGGGCATAAAACCATATATGCATGTATCCATTTTAAAGCATACATAGAAAGAAATGGAAATACATGTATGAAATGTTATTACTAGTTATATTCTGCAACAGCAAAATACATCAATAGACATGCTGTTAAAACAAAATGAAAGCACATTTTGAAAGGCCTAAAACGTGATTTACAAGAACTACAGGTATCCTGGGGCAAAAAAAAAAAAAACCGTTTATTCAGGGGTGTGACGATTTGGTAATATGTCAACACAACTAGGATAAACTACACTTCCCAAAATTCCTTTTGATATGGTTTGGCTGTGTCCCCACCCAAAATCTCATCCTGAATTACAATAATCCCCATGTGTCAGGGGCGGGATCAGATGGAGATAATTGAATCAAGGGGGCAGTTTCCCCCATACTATTCTCATGATAGTGAGTTCTCATGAGTTCTGATGGTTTTATAAGGGGCTTCCCCCTTCACTTGGCTCTCTTTCTCTCCCCTACTGCCACGTGAAGAAGGAAGCGTTTGCTTCCCCTTCACCATGATTGTAAGTTTCCTGAGGCCTCCCCAGCCATGCAAAACTATGAGTCAATTAAGCCTCTTTTCTTTATAAATTACCCAGTCTCAGGTATGTCTTTATTAGCAGTGTGAGAACGGACAGCTACTACATCCTTGCTGGAAGTTTCTAGTTAGGGTGGCCACAAAAGTGATCATTGTGCAAGATTTGGAGGGAGAAAGGAAATAACAGCCATGTGTGGCTTGCACATTGTCACTTAAATGCTGGCTCCCTCACTGGCATGAAGGGGTGGCCACCAGGCCTGCAGCTGTGCCTCCTTCCTGGGATTTCCTCTCCAGCCTCTCTGATTCTTGGGCCAGATGTGCTTGTATCTAGCTCCTAGCTCCTACCAAAGGTCCAGCTTTTGCAGAACACCCAAGCCATTGAGGTCAGAACAATGACAGTGGACACAGCTTCCAGTGTCCTGCTCTGCTCTGAGTTTGTTCTTGGATTCCAAGACTTACATCCATCTTTCTTTCCTCTCTGCCTGCCCTGCACTCTTCAACCTTCAGCATCAGACATGAAAGCAACAGCCCTAAGGCAGGGACCTCTCAACCAGCTCCCAGAATTGTGTAGAGTCAAGTGTCTATAACAAAGCCCTTAATATTTGTGTGTGTGTTTGTGAGTATGTGTTTTCATGTGTGGAATATATATCAATAGCTAGATGATAGATAGAAGATAGATAATAGATAAGTGATGGATGGATCGATGGATCAATAGATAGATAGATAATTGATAGATAGAGATATGTCTATTTCCCTCAGTGGTTCTGCTTCTCTGACTGAACCCGGACTGATACAAGGGGCTTGTCAACATTATCATTGCCAATATCATTGCCAACATTATCAATCATAAAAGAATTGGCTTTCTAAGGTCATGCTCTGTGTAAGCCAAGTCTTTAAAATGATTCATTTATTTTCTCTTTCCTTCAAAATTACTGAGGCAAATATCATCCTCCCCGTGTTATAAATAGGAAAAGAAACAGCAGTCCCTTAAGGAACAATGGTCTGATGCACCCGTCTTTCAAGAGTTACTGTGGAGGAAAGACAAAAAGAGGATCTAGAGGGCAAACTGGTCCCCTACCCTTGTTTATCTTTATCAGAGGCCAAGGCGCCAACCTCAGTGTCTGGGCCAGATTAGGGACTCAGTAAATATGATACATTTGGTTCATAAAAATTAAATCCCTTGAACGTTTTGCTTTGAAGAGCTGACTTCTCTTTGCTTTGTTAAACAAAACTCTTCTGATTACTTCTAACCAGGCTTGAATCAGGGATTACTTGGCCTCTGGGCAAGCTTAAAAGTGAAGCAAGTCAAAGCAAAGCATAAAGTGAGAGCATGATTTTTGCATGGGGTTTTTTTATGTATTGGTTTAACCAACTTCTTTACTTTCCTGAAGGTCTAAGATATTTGGGACCTTACACAAGAATACACATGCATTGCAGAAACTCCCTGAACCCATAAAAGTTTAATATGTCAAATACCGTACAGCTGTATTCTGCACCATGGATGTGGTAGGTGCCCCTGTACTTATAGTGCATATGGATCCCAGTGCTCCAATGCATGGATGCAGGAAATAGAACTTTCTTTATTTTCTGTACCTCAGCTGGATTTCTATTTTAATACCCCATCCTACCAGGATGAGGGAGAAGAATCTCACTCAACTCAAGGTCTCGCCTCTCCTTTCCCTGGAGCTGTGTCTAAGTTCTAGGACACCTAGAGGGTGCAGAGGCTTTGGGGAAGGTACCGCCAGACCCTCATTTCCTCTGTCCACTCAAGCCCCTCATGTTCCTGACTACATCATCCTTTGTACGCAGCAGCTGTCCTCATGACTTCTGTGCCACACGTGAGGACATAGGGACCTTTTGGCAGCTCCAGCAGCCCATGGGGTACCTGGCTCAGAGAGGTTCAGAGAGGCCGGACCCAGCACACAGCCTGTCTCCACCCTATTCTGCTACTTGAATGCTGTATGGGAGAGGTCAAGTGGCAAGGAGGACCTGAAGATGACACATGGGCTAATAGGTCCCAACTAATTTCCTGCCCCACACATTATTAAACTTTGTCATCTGTATGTTTTGCAGGTTTGGGCAAGAGTTGGATTCCCTCCAGGACCTCAGCTGGGCCTTATGTTCCTACATGGCCTTGCTGCTAACAGAGTTCCCACCCAGACACTCTCACTGTTGCTAATAATATTGTGTGGACGACCTCTACTGAGACATGTCTTAGGGTTCATACCATACAAAGGGCCCATATCTGAAGTTAGAATTCCCGGAAGTAGACCCTAAGATAACGATTTGTGATATGGTTTGGCTGTGTCCCTACCCAAATCTCACCTTGAATTGTAGTTCCTATAATCCCCATGTGTCATGGGAGGAACGCAGTGGGAGGTCACTGAATCACTGAATCACAGGGGCAGTTACCCCCAAGCTGCTGCTCTTGTGATAGTGCGTAAGTTCTCACGAGCTCTGACGGTTTCATAAGGGACTTTTCCCCTTTTGTTCGGCACTTCTCCTTCCTGCCACCATGTGAGGAAGGACATGTTTGCTTCCCCTTCCACCATGGTTGTAAGTTTCCTGAGGCCTCCCCAGCCCTGCAGAACTGTGAGTCAATTAAACCTCTTTCCTTCATAAATTACCCAGTCTTGGGCAGTTCTTCATAGCAGCGTGAGATGGACTAATATAATCTGTGTGTAGGTGATTTATTGATTATGACACCAGCACTCCCAGGGCAGATGAGGAAGGGAGTGACAAAGGCAGGATGGGAAGGAGGAGGAGGCCTAGTGAAGGCCCCACAGAGAGCATCTCCAGCTGACCCTGCAGAGGAGCCCTATGGTGTAAAGCTCAGGGTAGCCCCTCAGGAGGCAGGGGCTGGGCTCCAAAGAGCTGAGCTCCCTGCTGCTCCCCCAGCCCGAGGGAAGTCCTTTAGAAAGGGTAAGGGAGTGCAAGAAACTGATGAGGGGGCTCAAGGGAAACTGAGAAGAGCCTGGGCATTGACCAGGAAGTCCAGCACCCTCCAATTGACTGCACAGGGGATGCAAGGGGCTCTGAGGGCAGGTGTGGGAGGGAATGGGTGCCAATGACTTAGTGGCTGTGTACACAGGGCCAACAGAGTGAACAGAAGAAAGTGCTTTTTAAAAAACTTTAAACAAGCATGTGCACTCCTTGGGTTCACTGAGATTCTTTACCATTGAATGTCAGCAATAGTGTGACTTTTTGAACAATGGCTTTAAGCTTAAAATTTATCAAATAGACAGACCACAAGAATGTCACACAATGCAGATAGTGATTGTCAATAACACCGAACATCAGTTGGCACGTGGCAGGATGCACCATGGAAAACTAGCTTTGTCTGAAATTCACTTTACAGGTATTTGAGGGCCCACAATGTATTTTATATATATTCATATAGATGTGTTATCTATTTTCAGAAAAAATGATCTCATAAAAATTCAGGAATTCTTTTACAATATTCTAAATATGATATTTTTAAAGGAGCATTTGTTCTAGAAAATTTGGAAAACTTAGAAAGGAGATCATTACTTCTAACTTTTTGAAGCACCTTTTTCCTTATCTAGAACAGCATGGCTCAAGGTGTGACATGTGGGGTTCCACACCAGCAGCATCAGCCTCACCTGGGAACTTGTTAGAAATGCAAGTTCTCAGGCCCCACCCCAGACCTACTGAATCAGAAACTCTGGGGGTGCAGCCCAGCAGTCTACATTTTTACAAGCTCTCCTGGTGATTCCAATGCACACTGAAGTTTGAGAACCACTGATTTAGAAAAGCAAGCAAATGAGTTTAAGCTTACAGTATGGAAGGGGGAATCCATAGGAAGAGTTCTGATTACCAACTTTGAATTTAGAGTTTTCCTGATAACCTCATTGAGGCTGTACATAAGATGGATTTTATTTTCAAAAGGACAATACCTCTAATGATTTTCTCATTCCAAAAAAATTATGTGTTTATCTTTAAATGTCAAGCAATTATTAAAATGGCGAAAGTCCAAAACACTGATAACACCAAATGCTGGTGAGGATGTAGAGCAACAGGAACTCTCATTCATTGCTGGTGGGAATGCAGAATGGGGCAGTCACCTTGGAAAACAGTTTGGCAGTTTCCTACAAACCCAAGCTTACCCTTCACCATACAATCAAGCAATTGAGCTCCTTGATATCCATCCACATGAGTTGAAAACTTACATCCACATAAAAATCTATACACAGATCTTTACAGCAGCTTTATTCATCATTGCCAAAACTTGGAAACAACCAAGATATCCTTCAGTGGGTAAATGGATAAATACACTGTAGTACGTTCAAACAATGGAATAGTAGTAGCATTAAAAAGAAGTAAGCTATCAAGCCATGAAAAGACATGAATAAACCTTAAATGCATATTGCTCATTAAAACAAGCTGATCTAAAAAGGCTACACACTGTGTGATTCCAACTCTATGACATTCTGGAAAAGACAGAATTATGGAGATGGTGAAAAGATGCGTGGTTGCCAGGGGTTAGGGAGAGGGATAAATAAGCAGAATGCAGAGGATTTTTTAGGGCAAGTAAGTACTCTATATGATATGATAATGATGGATACAGGTTATTATATATTTGTCAAAACCCTTAACATTTACAACACCAAGAGTGAACCCTAATGTAAACTCTGTTCTCTGGGTGATGATGATGTGGGTTCACTGGTGTACAAATGACCCACTCTTGGTGCGGGAAGGTGATAGCCGGAAAGGCTGCACCTGTTGGGGGATGGGGGAAGGAGATATGTTTGCATTCTCTGTACTTTCGGCTCAATTTTGCTATGAACCCAAAGCTGCTTCAAAAAATTAAGTCTATATTTAAAAAGCCACAAAATAAGGAAAGGAATATATAAAGAAGAATGTAAAAAGTTCCCTCAAATCCTACTACCCAGAAAAAAAAATCAGTTAACATTTTAGCGTATATTATTCCAGATTTTTCTATGTACACTTTCATATAGTTATACGTATATATTTTTACAAAAGAGGACCCTACTAGACATGCTGTTTTGTAAAGTTTTGCAAACTGCTTTTCTTAGTTTAGAAATATGCATCATGAATATCTTTTAGTAGAAATAAGTAGAGGTCTACTACATTATTTTAATGTTTGCATAGTGTTCCGTGGGAAGAAACAACATAATTTTAACTACTGCCTTCTTACTAAATATGTTCCCCACATTTCACTGTTATAAACAATGCTGCCATGGCATCTTTGCCCTAACACCCTTGTGTGCTTAGTCGGGCAGGTATTTTGCAAATCTCCCCCAGAATCACGTGGTCCCAGTCTCGCTTGTGGGGCAGCACACCAGAGCACAAAACGCCGTAACTGCCTACTCCCATCCCAGCATCTTCTCCCATTCCCCAATTTCTCCCCGCTTTTCTTCTCTCCTCTCCCCTTTTCCCTTTCTTCTTTATCTTCTATGTCTGTCTCTCAAAGAGAAGCTTTAAGAATGAGGAAATCCCTTCGCTTCCCTCTTTCCTCTATGCCAAACTCTGGAATAGAACGCAAAGATGAAAACAATTGTATTTTAAAACTCTAGTTTCTGATCTGTCTTCCCATATTTTCTCTTCTCCTGAGGAAAAAATCTGCCTGCCCCTGTGGGAAAGTTGCCAGTGAATTGTCCTATCCTGGCTGAGCCCCGAGGCAGGCCTTGTGTCTATTCTATTCAGGATCTGTGAGCGCAACTTAGGCAGGTGCACAAATGCCTACTTCTTCTTTCAGGGTAAGGCAAGAGAACAGGAGGCAAAAGAATGGAGAGGGGAATCAAAGACAGTGGAAGGAGAAGAGAATGACAGGGAGGTGGAAAGTGGGGGTTTCTCGCAGAGATCAAAATAAAGCCGCAGCCTCCACCCCTCCCCACCGGGAGTGCCAATCACATTCGACACCCCTTTACAGAGACATCCACGCAATTGTGCATCCCGAAATCCTCAGGCCTTTTTTTTCTTTACGATTTCAAGTAAAATTCCATTTCTGCTACAATGCCTGCAGGCCACAATAAATAATATCTCCAGCAATTTCAGCTTTCAATGTCGCCACAATCCTCGTGCCAAATTTAATCAGAAAAGCTGAAGTTGCAACCCCCTCAGCTATGAATGTATAAATGTGTTTTCCCTTTCACCATATAATTGGGATAATAAATGTAACTCCCACAGAAACATCAGTATGCATCTGAAATGGAAAAAGGATTACATAAATCATCCCTGGACTTGGGGTATAAACTCATGCACATATTTTTCATTCTACTCTGTCAGTTGCACCAATAAATGCCAGAAATGGAGAAAGAGAGAGAAACAGAAACTTTCGGTAAATTTGCTAGAGCTATTATAAGTAAAAGTTCAAGAGTTACCTGAACAAGAACGTGAAACTGATTAAAAGCAATAACAATATCATACCACCCTTTCTGTAATAAGGTCAAATTAGCCACAGCTTGGTGGCCTAATTTGCCTCCTTTGCCCCAACCAGCCCTCTCCCAACCCCTCCCCACCATTCCCCTGACATGGCGCTTGCTGTGCCCGTTTCTCCACTGATGGACGGGCCCCCTGCCCTTTGCAGCCCGCCCCCAGCATCTTCTATGTCACCCTGTGGGGCCCACTTCTGTGTCACCCTAAGGGCCCTATTGGCCTTTAGTCAACTCTGATGGTGGGTCACGGGGCCGGTATAGTCCCCATCCAGTCCTCAACCTGACCCCCAGCCCAGACTCTGAATCGTGTGAGGGTGGGGTCCATGTCTTCATCTTTGCTGTTCAGCTGCAAAGCAGGGAGATTCCTAACAAGTCCTCAATTATGCCCCCTCCCCCCAACTGCAACATGACTTGGTGGACACTCCTGTCAAGAGGTGAAGTATGTCTTCACCCCGCTTGAAGCTGGGCTTGGCCAGTGGGACATCAACAAGGTGACAGGTGAGGGAGCCTTGCCCCAGCACCGCATGAAGGAGGAGCCCAGGCCAGTCAGCCAGCCGGGGGATGAGCCACACGTTGCCCTAGCTCCCATCGGCCAACCACAGGCCACAGGAGGGTGCCATCCTAGACCACCTGGCCCAGCCTGCCCACCAAGTGGTGAGAAATTATCAAAAGCCATTGTTTGGGGGTGAGTGGATAATGCATACATGACAGGAGAGGGACTATCTTAGTTTGCACACGCTCTGTCACCTTTGCCTACACACTCCCTGACACTGTAGATAGAGGACTCTTAGGTCCTAGAGATAGGTGGCCACAATTTCAAAAACACTCAGCACATTCATAGCTAATTATCCTGGAACTTGGAAGCAGCAAAGGCCCATGTTTGGGGATTACACTGGAGTCACATAATGTCTGAGAGGCCAAAATGACTCAGGAATACCCCACTCCCAACTTGCAGGGCCCCCAGATGAAGTATCACTCACTGCCTGAAAAACACAGACTCTACCCAGAGCTGCTGCATGTCCCACACGTGAGGAAGCTGGCCTCGCCTCCAGTGTGGATGCACATATGTGTGTGCACACAGACACACGTGCACGCCTGCATACATGCATGTGCACACACTGGTGTATGCACAGACTGTGCACAAGCAGGCACACACTTCCATGGCGGCAGTGCTTTGGCACGTGCAGCCCCATTGGTGACGGGTCCCCTGGCCTGGCCAGCCACAATAAGAGCTTGCTGCTTTCCAAGCCAAGGCAAATCGTCAGCGCTGGTGGCAGAGAAATTGCTCTCCAGCTCTGAGAGAAGGAAACCCCAGCCTCGGGGATTGGGGGGTTTGATTCTTCCCAAAGAGCCCTTATATGCTATAAGACCTCATGAGCAGTGTGTCTTTCAGGCCACCCTCCTCCTGAGGCTCATATGCCATATTCTCCCACACAGAAATGAGCAGTGACCCCTGGACAGATACACCTGAGACAAGGAGGACTGGGGCTTCCTTCTTGACTTCCTAGGAGACTTTCAGAAAGGTTACTGCTGGGATACAAAGAATGAAAACAATGAAAAACAGTGACAGCTTTGCCTTGCTACACTATCCGTTAATTATTTACATTTCCATATACGTCTCTCCTCTCCCCACTGCATGTAATTATAAGCTGTTCTTGGGCAAGAATCACATAATTTTAATATTGTTAAGCAAAATGCTACAGACAACATGAAATACATTGTGACTTGAATCAACATGAAAAGAAGTAATTAATCTCAATGTCGATTATTTTTAAGTGATTACAGATCCAGTCTCCACCGATAAAAGGAAGCAAAGAGTGGAGTTCATCAATACCAAAATAGATTTTCTTGAATCCAGACAATTTGGATGGCCTGGTGGAGAGAATGCAGGACTGGGAGTTTGAACACCTGCTCTATGTGTGCATTCCTGGGTCTGCCCTCAATCAAATACATGATGCTGCTACACTGACATATTCATCTGGACCTCAGTTGCATCATTTGTTGTTCACACAAGCTCAACACTTGACCCAGTGTTAAAGGGAAAACCTGCAGACCTCCACATTTGAATTACTTCATTTTTACTGTAATAACACATAAAAATACACAATTATAAAATAAGGTGTAAGCTGGACATATAGCGCTTAAGTATCACCAAAGTACATTTTTAAAGTAATTAGTAACAACACTAAAATCATTAGAGTTCAATTGGCCAAACTAACATGAGAGAGGATGTCGCATTTCTGAAACTGAATTGCCACCCATCACTGAAGGTGGACTGAAGGCACAAGCCTTTTGCGCTGGGCTTGCTTATTCCATAGTGTGCTGCGGTTTTCGAACTGCAAAACTTTTACTGGTACAGGGAGCCCAGGCTGTGCTGGCAAATGTGAAAACAGAACTGCAGTGCAGGACGTGATTGGAAAGCAATCATCCACATCTCCCATAAGATGCTTATATTTTCACTTTCATCAAAATTTAAACCAATTTTTAATCTTGTAAAGAATTCAGAGGCTTTCCAGATTGTGTCACAATAGTCTAGCTGGGGAAACTCTGTAATCACAGACCTGTAAGGACCTTCAAGATTTAACAATCCATTCTGCTCAAATTTAACCTTGTGGGAATCGTAGAAACATCCACTGCAGGGCATGGATCTACCACCAGAGGGAAACAGAGAGCCATCGTGGTAAAGAAGTGGTGGCAATAGCGACAGCCTCCTCCCTGTTGGCAAAGAGCTACTTGGGCCAAGCTGCACGGCCATTCTCCCCCATGGATCCTAAAACAGTTCAACTACAATATGCATGTGGTGGGTATGCAACTAATACATACAAACTCATTCCTTTAGTCAAATAAGAGGGTTCTCTCTTTTTATTATTTTCTCTTGATTTACTTGTTTATTGAGCAAACTTTGAGTGCCTATTGTGTGCAAGAAAAGGCAAGTCTGGGTGTGCACTCAGGACTCAGGCTGCCCACAGAAATCTGAATTGATTTCTAACCCGAGCTGAGGTGACAGCTCTCAGAGGTTCTGTCTCCAAAATTCCCTAGTGAGGATCTTCGCAAAGCGCAGGGTCTTTGCGGTGGAAAGGCGGGAGGGTGTTTGAAACAGCAACAGGAGATAAGCGGGGTGTGTGGCTGAGCTGGGAAAGGAGGGGGCATGCTGCTTCGGCTGCGACCAGGATTCGTCTCTATAGAAAATAATCTGTCTGAAATACCATTCGGCCCAGCAATCCCATTTACTGAGTATACACCAAAAGGAATAGAAATCGTTCTGCCATAAAAACACATGCATGTGTGTATACATTGCAGCACTGTTCACAATAGCAAAGACGTGGAATCAACGTAAATGCCCACCAATGGTAGACTGGATAAAAAAAAATGTGGTCCATATACACCATGGAACACTATGCAGCCATAAAAAGGAACAAGATCATGTCCTTTGCAGGGACGTGAATGGAGCTAGAGGCCATTATCCTTAGCAAACTAATGCAGGAACAGAGAACCAAACAAGGCATGTTCTGACTTAGAAGTGGGAGCTAAATGTTGAGGACACATAGAGGGGAACAAGAGACACGGGCCTATCGGAGGGTGGAGAGTGGGAGGACAAAGATCAGGAAAAATAACTAATAGATACTAGGCTTAGTACCTGGGTGATGAAATAATCTGTACAACAAACCTGCATAGTTTATCTGTATAACAAACCTGGACATGTTCCCCTGAACCTAAAATGAAAGTTACATTTAAAAAAGAGAAAGAAAGAAAGAGAGAGAGAGAAAGAAAGAAAGAAAGAAAGAAAGAAAGAAGAGAAAGAAAGAAAGAAAGAAAGAAAGAGAAAGAAAGAAAGAAGAGAAAGAAAGAAAGAAAGAAAGAAAGAAAGAAAGAAAGAAGGAAAGAGAAAGAAAGAAAGAAAGAAAGAAAGAAAGAAAGAAAGAAAGAAAGAAAGAAGGAAAGAAAGAAGGAAAGAAGGAAAGAAAGAAAGAAAGAAAGAAAGAAAGAAAGAAAGAAAGAAAGAAAGAAAGAAAGAAAACGAACTAAGGAAGAACTCTGCTTTCTAAGCCATTCATTCAACCCACCAAGCAATTCCTGAGTGGCAGCTGTGTGCTCCCATGTGGTAGGTGTTTGGGTATAGAAAATGAGGAAGATATGTAAGACAAGCTCCCCATCCTCACAGAGCTCCCCATGATCTGGCTCAGCAAACAAAACCAATATGTGAAAACACGAGAGAAATCAATACTAAGCGGATGCTGGAGAAAATGAAGGTGTAAGGAGCCGGGAGGAAGGGCAGGACACCACTGTGAATGACGAGCGAAGGGGCACCAGGGAAGATGTGGTGGAAAGGAGCAATGGGGATCCTAATACCTGTAATGCAGCCCCTGGTGGGGGTGTGATGTAGCTTTATAAGAAATGTCTGTGCAGCCACATTGACTTTCCTGGGGGAAAATATCATAGCCTTTGTGGCAGGGAGGTGGCTGAGGCGAGAACCAGGGCTGGTCAGCAACAACACCCACATTGCAGGAGCCATCCCTCAGCCCTGCCTCGCAGCCTTCCCTGTTGTGGCTGGAACCCCAGGGGCGTCCCGTGTGGACTGTGGCCAAACCCTTCCCGTGTGTCCTGCCCACAGCCACCCGCCGCCCCTTCTGCCCTCGGTGCTTGCTCCAGCCCCCGGTGCCACAGACTCCCTGCCGCTGCCACAGGCGTGGGGTGGAGGGCAGGGCCTCCTCTCCATTTTCCGGGGCACTGCGCCATCTCTGCCTCCAAAGCAGGATCGCCTGATCGCCTGGGCCCCAGGCCTCACAAAGCCCAGCCCCTCACAACTCCTCCCACAGGTGCCCTCTCTGGAAGGGTGCCAGAGCCTTCCCGTCCCCTGCCTTGGACCCTCTCTGCCAGCTTCTCTGCCCAAGCCCCCTCTCTCTTCCAGCCACAAGACAAAGCCTCATCTCTGCTTTGCACCAGAAATCACAAAGTATCTTTTTCTTCTGTGTGGCCCAGGGTGGGAAATGGTTGTTCCTGGATCCTGTCCATGAATCTGACCTTGACAGCAGTTTGTGTACCCTGAAAGGGGCCAAAGTAAAAAGAGAGGAGGGTGAAGAATCAAAATCAATGTTGCATTCAGAAGTCAAGTGCATAGAGAGAAGCTGCTCCAAGAATGACCACAAGCGGTCTAATCTATTTACAAAGTTTTGTGTCAAGAGATAAGTCCCGGCCTTTGGGTAGGAAAGTTTGGTAAAGCTGAAATTATGGGAAATTATGGTTTTGTTTCTTTAAACTTGGAGTTTCCACTCCCTCATAAACATCCATTCTTTCAAAAAAAAAAAATAACAATTACACACCTAGAAAATTCCAGGCATCCTCCTAAGTCTGGGACTACAGAGAGAAAAATAACACAGCCCCCATCCTAGAAAAACTCAGTGTGCTGTGTACTAGAGGCAGGTATATCCACATACAATTGTAATTCAACCAAAAGTCTTCATGGGTGCACGTGTGTTTGTAAAATATGCCACAATTAGAGCCTCTCAGCACTCAGTTTTCATGGTCCTGGATATTTTAATTTCATACACAAGATTAAAGACAGCTAGGGGCCACTAGAGGTGGGGCTACCACCCTGTAGGCTTGGATAAGAAAACATTCAAAGACCAACAAGAGACCAGAGGACCACACACAACATAAGCCATTAATAACAGAATGTGGTGGCCGAGGAATCCCCAGCCACGACTGAGAGGAAGGGATGCTTCTTAAACCTGATGCAACTTTCTTTAGTATTTAGGGGAAGGGACAAAAGTTACACTTATCAAAACAGCAAAGCGTGCCAAGGAGTGGCTGCTGTAAACACCAAATAAGACGGAGGTCAGGAATCAGATCCGGGGGTTACAAAGCACAGCAGGAAAACCAGACACCCAGACAGAAAGACAGGCCCAGGGAGCAGGTCAGATGGAATGGCGTCTTGGTCACCTGGGGTGGCCATGACAAACTGCCACGGACTGGGGGGCTTGAGCAGCAACAACAAAAAAATCATCTTCTTTCCATTTTGGAAGCTGGAAATCCAAAATCAAGGTGTGGCAGGGTTGCTGTCTTCCGATGACCCCTTTCCTTGCCTTGCAGACAGCCCTCCTCTGCCCGCGTCTTCCCTCCATACATGTCTGTGTCCTACTCCCTTCTTACAAGGACTCCCATCATCGTGGATTAGGGCCCACCCTAATCACCTCATACTGACTTCATCACCTATTTAAAGACCCTGTCTGCAAGTACAACCACATTCTGAGGTACTGGGGGCGAGGACTTCAATATATAATTTGCAGGGGGGTTGGGGACACAATTGAGCCCATGGCAGATGGCAACCTTGGTAGGCCTCTCTCCCTACTAAGCACGTGCCTCCCTTGGGGAGAGCAAGAAGCTACTGGTGAGGATGAAGGAATTCACGCCGCAATTGGGAAGGACCAGACAGCAGCATCTGACCTGTGAACCTCAGACCCCAGCAAGGCACAGAGCTATGGCAAGGAATTCCGGATGTGCTGTCCAGTTACAGAAAGAACAATCCACAAGAATCCTCAGCTGTCACGGAGGCTTGGCTGTTCCCAGACAAGGAGGTGGCTCCTCCCCAGTGCTGCAGGGCAGATGCCCCCAGGCTTATGGAGGGCGGACGGGCTGCAGGGAAGCGAGTGTCCTCGGGACTCCTGAGATGAGCGGGGTCTGCTCAGCAGCTGCATCAGAAGCACTCGGGACCTGTGGAAACACAGACTGCTGGGCCACCCCTTCTCTAGGATTCCCGGGTCTGGGGCGAGGCCTGCCAGGGTGCGTTCTTCACCAGGTCCCAGGTGGTGCTGACCTGGGAGTCCATAGGCCACATCTGGAGAAGCCCTGGCTTGTGGGAAGTCCCACGCCCTGTTCTAGCATCATTTTCTCATTCTCAGTCCATCTTTCACCTGGTTGAGGTACATCTTCAGGAAAGATTTTCAGGGCAGCCCCACCTCACAGCCCAGCGTGCAGCCTCTGCTCCCAGCCTCCGCTTTGGAGGGTGATGCTTGGCCTCTCTCTGGCTTCACTTCTTCCCACCAGCTGAGGAATCCGAAAGGCCAGAGAGGTGTGCCCACCACAGACCATGTGCCCCTCTGGTCCCCTCCTGACACCCAGGGCCCCGGAATTCCTGGCCACAGAGGCCCTAAGTCTGCTCTCAGGGTCCACATGGGCCTCCTGCCAGGTGTGTCTCTGGCGACTAATCAGGGCCGGACCTCCCACAGTGGAAGGGGCAGTTTCCTCAGAGACACACGCAGTGGCTTGGGAATGGAAGAACACCGGAACGGCATTGCTATTCTGTTAAGAAAGCGCTGATGGTGGGGCAGGGGCAGGTGAGGCACCGAGCCAGGCTGGGCACTGCTGTCAGGCGGCAGTAAGAGCAGGACCCAGCTCCACGCGATGCCACCTTGAGATGGCGCCACAGGTGACTGGCGTCCCCTTGTCCTGGAGCAGAGCTTCCACCAGGGCCTTCAAGTAATCATGAAAAATGAGAGGATATATTTTACTTAAGAGTGTATTACCTTGAAGTGTGATTTATCAACACCACTTAAGTACAGGTATGTAGATTACTATTTGTTCTCTTGCCCCAGGACCCAAAATGAATAGAATGAGCCACTAAGAGAATATTTCTGGACCCTTTGGTATTTGAAAAAGTCTTTCTAATGTCTTTACTCATGAAAGCACCATGGCTGGATATATAGCTCTTCACACAGAGCCTGAAAGCTCCTTAGACAAGCATTTCCCAAAATCACGCAGTGGGATCCAGGTCCCATAAATGCTCCAAGATAAAAGAGTTCGACAACCTTTTCTGGCAGGGGGAAAGGCAGTGTAGCTACGATTTGGTAAATAAAGCACTGTAACCGGAGTAAGACCCACCATCTGCCTTCCTCCAGAGGCCACACATACCTTACCATGAATCCAGAGGGAAATGGGTCTGTCCACGGTGTGTCCAGGAAAGCAGGAAGAAGGAAGGGAAAGCTGTATGCCAGATTCAAAGAGTCTATCTCTTTATTCATGTTGCAAGATTTTCTTTCATTTTAAAACTACCTTGTTCAATTGATATGTAATAACTCAATGGCCAGTTGTAATTCTGGATGTTTCCTGAAACAAGAAGCCATCAGGCTGTGTTGGCACAGAGGGGCGACCTTGCAGGGACTCGCCACCCACCCTGACTTCACCGTAACTTTTGATAGGATGACCCCCGTATGTGCCCAGCAGTCACCGAGGGCGTCCAGTGGACGTGGTCGGACGATTGTGAGCTCAGGCTGCCAGGCCAAGCGCACAGGCCGGGTAGAGACGGTTTAACGTGGTCCACAGCCACCACTTTGCAGCTCGAGGCCTCCCCCTCGTGTAGCCTGTTTGTAGTTTTCTACGACTGTTTCGTACAGCACGGGCTCCATGCGTCCCAACACCGCAGGAGCACACCCGCCACTGAGACGCGCGTGCGGGGCCAGTGCAGCGGTGTCCCGGGTCTCCTCGCACTCAGCTCCCTGCCGGTTCCGGCCACCGAGCACTCTTGTCGGGGAGGCCTCTGATGGGCCTGGGGAGGGCAGGGGGCTCATCCCCTGAGGGAGTGGCCTCTGCGTCACTGTGCCCTGCCTTTTGGCTTGGACTTCAGTCCTCCCTCAGGAGTAAAGAGCTCTTCATTACCAAAGGGGCTGTTGGTTCCGTGACCAGCACCGACAAGAGACAGCGGAACAGCCGAGCTGATGTCCCATCGCTCTGGGAATTCCTGACGCTTTTACTGTGAAGATGAAGCAACCGTAATAGCACGAAGATCGTGGGTCTGTGTGTCTGTGAAGAGAGTCCACCTGCTAGGAGCCGATGAACAATGAATGCCCTGCCCTGCTTGTGTTGCGCGTCGCCAGGCCCGCAGCTCACGTCCCAGAGGATTCCTTGATGTGAATTGGTTGTGCCACAGCAGCAGTTCTGGAAGGAAACTAGGAAGCTAGACTGTACTTTTTGTTTAACCACCATTCACCAAACCGATTTGGAATCTTCTTTTTGGTGCTAGCTGGGGAAGAATGCACACGTGCGGTCTGTTGTGATACGTTTGTGATGGTGCCTAGTGTGGCTCCCAAGAGCACTGCAAGCTCTCAGAAATGCTCTCCCAGGCCTTCAGAGGAGGGAGAGGTTCCTGGGGAAGGCAGGGAAGCCTGTTTCTGTCCTCACACCAGAGAAAGAAACCTAGGAGACAACTGAGACGTGAAATTCCCAGTTTAAGTCCGTTTTTCTTTATGAGGAGGGTCATTTGGAATGATAGCCTCGCTTCCTTCCGGTGGCTGCAGCTATGATATCTTTTCCTCCTGTTTTCTAATGTGTCACTGAGACAGGAAATAAAGCAGAAAGGGACTTGTGAAGCTCTGTCTCTCAGACGGGACCCTCCCCGCAGGAGGTTCACAGGGAGTGAATGAGAACGAGAACATCCCACAACGGTCCTGGTCAGGACGGTCTCCACATCCATGATCCCGTGGTTCCTGGTCCCCTGGTTCCAGGGATGTTTCTGGACTGCCTGTGCTTCCCGGGAGCCAGCTGAGAGAGCAGGGTGTGCTCTCGGATGCTGGTGGGTATGGTCAGTGGGCACAAGCGGACCCTTCCCAGGCGGCAGGTGCCAGGCAGGTGCAGGTGGGTGGTCGGCCGCTGCTGCAGCTCACCCCATGGGTCCCAGGCCGGAAGGGGCTCCCTCAGACCCGGTGCCTTCCTGCAGCTCAGAAGAAAAAGGGTCAGGTAGGCCCCAGAGGGAGCCAGCCGCACCGCTCCACACACCTGTCTCAGCCACAGCCGTGAAACTAAAGATGTATTTTTATTTAGTGACAGCTTTTTGTTAACACGGATGTTTAGAGATTATGGAGAATAAATTGTGGGGAAAATTTTTTTTCACTCTTCTACCATTTGTTGTGGAGAGAAATAGGTAAGTGCAGGGAGTTTGTGATAAAACAGCACCCGGCGGTTCTTCAGAAGTGAATCTGATGGCCGGGCGCAGTGGCTCATGCCTGTAATCCAAACACTTTGGGAGGCCAAGGCAGGCAGATCACCTAAGGTCAGGAATTCAAGACCAGCCTGACCAACATGGCGAAACCCTGTCTCTACTAAAAATAAAAAAATTACCCGGGCATGGTGGCGGGCGCCTGTAATCCCAGCTACTCAGGAGGCTGAGGCAGGAGAATTGCTTGAGCCCAGGAGGTGGAGGTTGCAGTGAGCCGAGATCGCGCCACTGCACTCCAGCCTGGGTGACAGAGCGAGACTCCATCTAAAAAAAAAAAAAAAGAAGAAGTGAATCTGATGTTTGCACTCCACTTTTGAACCATTCACTCTCACTGCTGTCACCAGAAAGACCTGGTGTCGCTGATGCAGGTTCTGGTGGCTGGTTAAGTTTCGATCATCGCCTGGCTTCCTGAGGTCTCGCTGCCTTCTTAGGAAAGGTGACTGGCTTCTGTGTGGGAAGCTATTGTTTAACATGCAATGATGCCATCCTGGCTGCCACTGTGCACTGTCCCATGTATTGAATTTTGACTTTTTCTTTTTAAGTTTCTGTGCTTATCTCTTCTTAGTGTTTACTTTTACCAGTTACAATAATATTACCAAAATAATACACATATAGCTTTGGCAAAAAAAAAAAACAGAAAATGTGAGCAGAATAAGACAGTTCCTTGGGACACAGTTTGGACCCTGACCAAATGCTTTTCTCTAGGCAGAAAGGCTGTCTGCCCGTGAGACAGACACTCAGGAGTGGCCGTTCAGTTGGAAAAGAAGGTCATGCTGCCTGGCCAGGCCCCAGCTCTGCAAGGACACAGGAGTCACACTGCTTGCATCATCCGAGCCTTGCTCCAGAAGGCCTGGCCGCTCTCTTCCCAGGGGTGATTCAGGGACTTAGTCTTGGACCAGACCCCCCTCCACACCTGCCCAGCTCCAGACCCATCTCTTGAATTGAGGGCATCTGCGCTGGACCCAGTGGGTCACTCTGGCAGCTTCATCTGAGCCAAAGATGTGGGTGCCTCCATGGCTGTGTGATTTACCTGTAAGGAAAGCAGTGTTTTACTCAGAGGAGAAGCAAAATCATTTTCCCTGGTCTCAGTGCTACATTATCACTCAGCAATTTGAGGAAATCCTCCGGTTTTCCTATACGAGGAAGCACGCTGCATTGAAGAAAAAAAAAGAGTTGGTTAAACTGAGACCCCAGTATCTGTGAATATGCTCATGGTGCTGCTGCCTGGAACACAGATGCCAAGCAGGGAGACTCATGGCTGTCTGAGCAGCAGCTGACTGTCCATCTCGTGCTAGGCAGAGCCCCTGGACAAGTGGACATAAGACCGGTATTGATTGGCCAGGGCCACGGGGGCTGGGTGTCTTCCAGTCTGCCTGGGACAGCGAAAGCAGCTGTACAGACAGCAACAGTGGGAGGGCTTGCTGGGATGGATGGGGACAGCAGACAGCTTGTCTCCTGTTCAATATCCCCACTGCACTTGGCCTCCTGACATGTCATCAGGAGCCCTGGCAGGGGCTGCTCTGAGCAATAATGTTGGCCCAGAGCAGCTTCCCACATGACCACAGAACCAGCGGTCTGCCCTGTCCTAGGTTAGGTCATCATGGTTTAGAATAAAACAATGAGGCACATTTATTATGGGCATTGAAGGCTTAAGGTTTTCCTTAATTTCCTAATTTTTAGTCAACAGTGATTAGCCTTCATTATGTGTGCCAAGTGGGATTTTAAGGCAGGGGAAATGTAAGATAACTATTGCCATTCAGAGGAGAGTTTTACTGATGTTTCTTTCTTCCTATGTATTTTATGGTATTCATTTTAACCACATTTCATCCAAAAAGTTGATGCAGCTTTAAGATGAATGTTACATTTTACTTTCAAGGAATTATTACTTGTGTTCTCTTTGTAAAGGAAAAATAATATTGTACTTTTATTAAATAATGTACAGATGTTCTCTGTATTTTTGAATCATGATATGGATTATGGATATATTGCTTAACAAATTTTTTTTGGAGCAAAATAAAAAGAGGAGACATTTGTGCTCTGGAATGTTCTTCCCTGTTCAGCAATAGTTTCCCTCCTAGTACTAATTTTTGGTGGTGCTATTAATTTTCATAATTTTCTGCGTCACCATGAGTATTTCCATGGCACCGAGGGAAAACCACATCAGGCTGACTGTCAGATGCCACTTTCCTGCCATTCACCTAAACAGTCCTTCATTTAAATGCCTGCAATAGCAGCACGAATAGAAAAATCATTAAAGAAGAAATACATACATCTGGTTAACAAACATTTGTATAATGTTCGATCTTACAATAATGTTTATAGAAGCAAGTTATAAGGTAAAAAATTTTCCCCTATCAAATTAATAAAGATTTTTAAATATGAGCACCCCCTCTGCTGGCGAGCACAGGGCAAGTGGGCACACTTAAACAACACTAGATGGGGAATGAATAGGTGCAATCCTTTTGTAGTGGTAACATGCATAAATAGGTTTCAAATCATCAGAAGCTTTAGTACAGAAATACACTTCTAGTAATTTGTTCTAAGCTAATAATCCTAAATATTATAAAAGTACCTACAAACATATTTATTATAGCATTGTTTATGATTGTTAAAAATATGAAACCATCTAATTCCTTAAAATTATGTGGGCAGATTAAATTACAGTGCATCCATAACATTAAAAAATACATAATAACAAAACCATAAAAAACTTGTGATGAATATGGAAATGTGTATGCTATTTTATCTTAACTGAAAAAAACCAGGAAACAAAATTGTGTCTTTAAAAGAATCACAACTATGTAAAAATGCATTGAAAAGGATCAGACAAGAAATATACCAAAATATGACCAGCATTTATCTATCTGCCTCTATTTTTCTACATTTTTCAAATATTCTCTACTAATCATAGTTAATTTTTATAATGTAAATATAAAACATTCTATTTAAATATAAATAAATTATGTAGCAAATTATACTTTTGATAATATAGATAAGTATCTGTTTACTTTTTATAATAATGTCTACTCAAAGTGATAATACCGAAGATTAATTTTAGAGTCAAAAATAGAAATAAGACAACAGATAAGAATACCCCTTCAGGAAACATGGAACAGAAGAAACATCTTCAAAAACATAATTTTAAAGTAATTGTGAGTGTCCTGCATCCTGGGGAGTGGGCTGAGGAGAGGAGATTTCCTTGCCATTATTACCAAACTCTGCATGTTTGTAAAAAATGATTAACCGCCCTCTGAGTAAATGCTATCTGTAGGTTATGCCATTTTCTGTTTAAATGCATAAAGAAAGGTTTTTATTTTGTCTTCTAGAAGTTCTTTAGCAGAAAATTAATTATATGAACTACATACATTAAAAAGTTTTTAGTCAAATATTGTAGAAATCAGCCTGATATGGTTTGGCTGTGTCCACCCCCCAGATCTCATCTTGAACTGTAGCTCCCACAATTCCCACATGTTGTGTGAGGGAGCCGGTGGGAGGTAACTGAATCATGGAGAGGGTCTTTCCTGTGTTATTCTCATGATAGTGAATAAGTCTCATGAGATCCGATGGTTTTATAAAGGGAGTTTCCCTGCACAAGCTCTTTTCTCTTGCCTGCTGCCATGTGAGACATGTCTTTCACTTTCCACCATGATTGTGAAGTCTCCCCAGCCATGTGGAACTGTGAGTCCATTAAACCTCTTTCTTTCATAAATTGCCCAGTCTTGAGTATGTCTTTATCAGCAGCATGAAAACAGACTAATACACATCCCTAACTGCTTCCTGTACAATGGATTGATTTTAGGATTTGACAAGAAGATTCTGGAAAGAGTCACAAGACCCAAATTAGAAAACACCTGGACACCCAGGAGGCGGCACTGCCAAGAGAGCCCCTCCATCCCCTCCTGCTCTGCTCCTTCTTCTTGCAAGCTGCTCTCCCCTCCCCAAGAACACATGGGGGGCAAATGGTCCCCTGAAGGATCCCCAACTTTTCCTCTCACAATCCTAACACTTAAGAGATGGTTTCGTCTCTTCATTCCACTTGCAAAATTCGCAGAAAACAGCTGTATCCTAATTTGGGTCTGGTGGTTATTCCTGAACCAAGGACTTACTATGGCCAGGAGCAGCATGGAGACATCCCTGGCCCAGGAAGAGCCACTCATCCACCTCTAAACCAAGCAAATATGGCCAGGGGCAGCACCACGTCCTAACACAACTTCCCCACAACAATGAGGATGGCCCTGAGAAAGCAGTGGAGATGCTGTAACAGAGCAGACCACTTACACAGGCCATCCCACTAGAGGCTGTCTTTATGTCAGATTACTTTACCTTTCAATTAATAAACGTGTAAATACCTCAGTGCAGAAAAATCTGAAATAGAGGCAATTTAACTTGCAGAACTGAGAATCTGTGCCAAACTAACTTCAGTTTCTCTTTTCCTGCACCGAAATCATTCTTCTCCTTCCACATTATTTAAAGAGAGAGGCCGGGCGTGGTGGCTCATGTCTGTAATCCCAGAACTTTGGGAGGCCAAGACAGGCAGATTACCTGAGATCAGGAGTCTGAGAGCAGCCTGGCCAACATGGCAAAACCCCATCTCTACTAAAAATACAAAAATTGGCCAGGCATGGTGGCACACACCTGTAATACGAGCTACTCGGGAGGCTGAGGCAGGAGAATCATTTGAACCTGGGAGGCAGATGTTGCAGTGAGCCAAGATCATGCCACTGCACTCCAGCCTGGGCGATAGAGCAAGCCTCTGTCTCAAAAAAAATAATAATAATAAAGAAGGTTAAAGATAAAGGTATGATTTCCTTAACATGCAGTCTTAAGAAGGGAGCTTCAGTTTTGAATTTTTAACAGATGCTTCTGTATTTGGAAACCACTATTATGAGCTTCAGTCTGTACAAAGGTCAATAGAGAAAGTCATTCTACTCCCACTAGATGTCTGTTGCGTATGTGTGGCACCCAGACAAACTAAATGCGTCTATTAATAGAATATGCACCTTGGTATGGAATGCCAACTGTATTCCAAGGCCAAGGATGAATGCAGTAGCAAAGACTATATTTTAATGTGCTGGCAAACTATAAGAGCTCAAACAGGCTGGGCACGGTGGCTCACACCTGTAATCCCAGCACTTTGGGAGGCCGAGGTGGGTGGATCACCAGAGGTCAGGAGTTCAAGACCAGCCTGACCAACATGGTGAAACCCCATCTCTACTGAAAAAAAGAAAAATACAAAATTAGCCTGGCATGGAAGCGCATGCCTGTAATCCCAGCTACTTGGGAGACTGAGCCAGGAGAATCACCTGAACCCCGGAGGTGGAGGTTGCAGTGAGCCAAGATCACACTATTGCACGCCAGCCTGGGCAACAAGAGCAAAACTCCATAAAAAAAACAAATAAATAAATAAATAAAGTTCAAACAAAATCTGGCTACTTCGACACCTTGAAGAAATTACTGATTTTGAGTCTTCATTTATTTAGGAAATGAGCAGTATGGACCAGATTAATTTTCAAGTTGCAACTAAGTCAAATTCTGAGGGCTCTTCTCAAAGACTAACACTGTTACTGATAGAAAATTCTTAAAGAATACATATTTTCTCTTGATTACCTGTTAGAATGGATTCAGTCCAATATCTGATCTCCAGTAAGGAAAACCTTGAAAATGTCAATGCACTTTCAGTTCCCAGGAGAAGGCAAGTCATTTATTTGAGCTTCTCTTCTCTCTTAACAGGTTTCTCCCAGCAGGGGTGAGGAGCAGAGCACTCTGCCTTCCAGAAAGGGGCTTGCAGCACAACCACCTGTGCAGGCTATAAAAAGCCATCACTCGCGGAGCCACTGCGCTCCATGTGGGGGAAGAGAGCCCAGCTTTCCAATCACTTCTCCATATTGTGCCCCTGGGTAAGCGTCCAACATGTGACCAAAGCCTCGGCAAAGAGAGGTGGGTGCTTGGCTGAACTGTTTTGCTCAAGGATAACCCTACAAGTCACATTTGCTGAAAATAGACCCTTGTGGCATGAATTTCCTAAGAACTTGGCAGATCAGTCCAAGTTTAGGATGAGAGAGAAGAAAAGAGAACTTGCTACTTTCTAGTTAGTTGGCAGAGAGAGAGCACACCAATGAGTGAGCACAGGCACATGTGTCTTCTGCTTGGAATAGCCCTTCTCAGGGCACCTCTGTCTGGAATGGCCCACGTGTGTTCTGCCTGCTCCGGTCCACTGTGATCCTGAGACTCTAAGCTCAGCTCCTGGCCCTCTTGGAGTGGCACCACCATGCCTGGTCCCCAGCCTCCCAGAGCACCCAAGGGGGAAAGCTGTGGTGTCCCTGCTACAAAGCACAGGGTAAGTAGGGAGATTTCAGCCTGAAGTAGGTTGAGCCCTCACATGTTAAGGGAGATAGAGTACAGCAAACCTCCATCCCAAAGGGGACAAAAATAGTCTCCAACTTAAAGACCGTTATTCAAAAAAAGTATATTGATTGATCCAATTTTAATTTATATAGAGGTCTAGAAGAATATGTTTATATGAATATCTGGAAAGAGCTGCATTGAAATGCTGACAGTGATTAGCTTTGATGTAGAAATTTTGTAGATTTTTTTCTTTTTATCTATATTTTTCTAAAATCAACATACAGTTCTTTTAAGTTCTTAAAGAAATATTTCTTTAGAAATCTCAAACTGAAGCAATAGCAGGAGGAAGGGACATTTGTTGAGCCTGGGAGTTGGGATCTTGTGTTCTAAGCAAGAATTTAAACCTTTCCTCCATGTTTGTGTCCTCCACTTCTCTGGCTTGGCGTCACATCTCCTAAGTGCTGGCAGTAAATCATACGGGATAGTGTCATAAAGGGTTCTCAAAGTGATTTTATAGTTTCATTAGAAAGAAACATTGGGATAGAAGAAAAATAACAAGTCTTCATATTTTCAGGAACATAAGGATCCAAATTTAGTTTAGGATCAAGAACAATTACAAGTCAGTATACAAGAGTAACGGCCCAGACAATACTTGTTGATGTTAAATGAATTATAATTTGTTAATTCATTTACAAATGACAGTAAATTGAAATCGTCAGTATTTGTTGATGTTAAATGAATTCAACATTTGTCAAATGAAATGAAACTTTAATTTGTTTAAGGGATGGACTTCTTTCTTTATAAGATCCCCGCAGTGTTTTCTGTGAAACCCTCCATCTTGGAGCAAAGGAGAAGGAGGAAGGATGAGAGGGTTACATTTAAACCACACAGCCAAACTTAAAGGGGCAGCAACAACCTCTGGTGCATGCCCAAATTCAGAGCAGAAATTGTTGCAGAAAACCAAATTGCTCTTCAAGACTTAAGAAGGGGAAGGGTCTGTGTAACCAGTAGGAATAGCAAAAGCCTACCACTCACTTTAAACAGGCCCACTGAGAAGCTCCT
The DNA here is from genome assembly GCF_000001405.40 of Homo sapiens. Lineage (NCBI taxonomy): Eukaryota > Metazoa > Chordata > Mammalia > Primates > Hominidae > Homo > Homo sapiens. The sequence goes on along the minus strand of NC_000006.12, from coordinate 159,120,179 downwards.
GTCTCATGTCCTGCACTCTTGGAAACAGAAGTTTCATAAGTTGCTTTTTCTTTTTAATTACATTTAGCAACTTCCCTGTCATTCTGATACGCATTCATGCCACAAGCACTGGTCAGATGTGTGCTGCGTGTGGGACACAGAGCTGCCCTTACGAAAGAGCTCACGGCCAGTGGAGAAACCAATGTGGAATCGAAGCCAGTGCAGTGTGGTCAGCACTAACATGGAGGGCAAAGTGGCCAGGAGAGGACCGAGAAGGAGGCCTCCCCGCTGAGGAAACAGGGGAGTTTCTAGAAGAGATGACACTGGGCTGGGTCTTCTAGGCAGGGAAGAGTGTTGCAAGCCAGGGGAATATCCTGACCCAGACCTGGGGTCACAAAACAAAGGGGGTTCCAGGACAAAAGGCCTGTGCTCCCCTGTGAACTGCTGGGAACCTATGGCATGGGTGATGACAAGCCACTCCCCCACAGGAAGGTGACATGATTGGATTTGTGCTTTAAAATGAAAACCTGCCTGCCATTGAGAGGGTGGGATGGAGGAAGTAGAGAGCTTGCTGTTTTACAGTAAGCCACACAGGAGAGATGAGGGCCTGGGTGGTAGCCAAGAGAACTGGGAGCTTGTGAGATACTTCGGAAGAAGAAATCAACAAGGCTTGCTCTCAGATGAGACACAGTAGGTGAGAGAAATGGGTCACTTTACATGAACAAGGTTTTTTTGAAAAAAGTAGATAAATTGATTAGTGACTAAGAACTAACTGCTTTGCAAAAAAAAAATTTGCAAAAAAAAATCATTTGTTAGAGTTCACCATTTTTAATCTTATAAAAGCAAGAGTAGTGATACGATTTGGCTGTGTCCCCACCCAAATCTCATCTTGGACTATAGCTCCCATAATCCCCACATGTTATGGGAGGGACCTGCCAGGAGGTAAATTAATTACAGGGGCCGTTGCCTCCATGCTGTTCTCCTGATAGTGAGTGAGTTCTCACAAGATCTGAGGGTTTTATTCTGGGCTTTTCCCCCGCTTCACCCTGCACTTCTCCTTGCCACCACCATGTGAAGAAGGGTGTGTTTCCTTCCCCTTCCACCATGATTGTAAGTTTCCTAAGGCCTGCCCAGCCCCTGTGGAACTGTGATTCAATTAAAGCTCTTTCCTTTATAATTACCCAGTCTTGGGAAGTTCTTTATAGCAGCATGAGAACAGATAAATACAAGTTGTATGTGGCCTGTGATATTGGGGTATTCAGTTCAGACAGGCTTCTTTGAAGAATCTTCTAAAATTTCAGGCAGAAGAAAAAGCAACCTAAATTTTTGCTATTCCTTCAGTTTCTTTAAACAATTTCAAAGCTAAGGACAATGACCTAAAATTGCTACAGTATAAGATTTTGGAAGAGAAGATACAGCTAAAGGACATATGGGGGCTGGTCTAGTTTGCAGTTAGGGAGTTCATTTAACCTTCAGCCTTGGCCTCACGGTCTGTCCCAAGGTGGGCATCCTCCTTCCTCTTTCACTGCTAGATATCAAGGGAGAGATTCTTGCCCTGTCTTGCAGTATCTTTGTCATTTTAAATGTTTATATCTGGCTTTTCCCTTCATAGTTAAGTTTCTTATCATGCACTGCCTATAATGCTTATAACAAAGAGGCCACAGCGTCCACAAGGAGAGCCACTGGAGGGCCACTAGGGAGCATGGGTTTTCCCATGGCCTCTTCAGCACCTGATGGGCTTGGGGAGGGGATGAGAAGAAGCACAGAGAGGAATAGAATTGGGCAAGGGCCATGAGCACTAAGAATGCTCCTGTACCCAGTCCCACCCTGCTCTCTGCTAACGCCCAAACTCAGAATTACCCCATAATGAGTTCTTTTCTTTTTAATCCTGATGAATTAAAAATAAGGGTTATTCCAGGGATCTAGAAGCAGGCAGAGACTCCTGGAGAAGGAGGAAATAATCTTCTTTTCCAAGGGTGGCTCGGAGATGTTTTTGGTCATTTATCATTTTGGTAAAGATTAGGGATGGGATTGTTCTAGACTCCTCTATGAGGTCTGTCTCCCCCCAGAGAGACACAGGCAACCCTGAGACGGAAACTTGGTGTCTCCCCCTAGCTGGTCCCAGGCACAGCAATTTGAAAGATTAGGATTAGTGCTTTGCTCCCTTGGGAAGCCAAAGAGACTACGGGAGAAAGAGTTTCATGGGCTGGTGGTTGTCCAAGACCAGGTCTGTTGCCAAAGGATGGAATGATCTTGGCATGGCATCAACAGGGACAGTCCCTGAGCAGGAGTCAGTTTCCTCTTGGTAGCCAGGGCCCCTCCTCGTTATTGCTAATCATTGTGGGTCACATCATGACCTGCCCCTTGCTCTTGCTAACTCATTGAGGCCACCATCCCCACACCAAGTCAGGGCCACATGCAGTGCTTGATTCTGTTTCCTGCTTGGCCACGAGGGCACCATCTCATGAGGGACTGATATCAGCAATGCTTTTCCACTGATGCGTAGCCACCCAGACTCAATGCAGGAACTGGCTAGCTCGTGGCATTAAGTATGTAGTGATTTGCGTAACAGAGAGGCAGTCACTGGTGACACCCTGACTTAGCAAACCCATCTTCACTTCTGATGGTTTGGGGCACAAGGTCAACCCAGCGACCCCCCGATTCCATGAATCAGTGAAGATTTCCCACATATTTAGAAAATCATTGTCCTGTTGTAGCATGACTTATTGATACATATCATATCTGCCGGAATATGACTGTAATATAACTTAAAGGCCTGAAATATCAATAAAGAGGGTTCCTTGGGTGGTTGCCCGAAATCCAGTTGTTGCTGATTGAAATAGAATCAGCCTGTGGTGCTTCAGAAAGATTGTTCCGGAATGAGAAAGATCCCCCAGGCTGTGACTTCATGAAATGAAGCAATATTTTGCCAGAGGCTTTCTCACTGGAGACACAGGCTGATTTCAGAGCAAGGCCATGCTCCATGGGGAACTGTTGCCAAATGACAGCTCAGGAATGTCTCTGCTCATCTCTCACTGCCAAGTTTCCAGAGGTACAGAGCCCTGGCGTTCCTTCTTGAGTTGACTCCAATTGTCAAGGCACTGGCAAGCCATGGGAGGTGCTCCTCAGCCCTCCACACACACAGCAACCATCCCGCAGAACTGGGTGAAATACCTTCCCTGAGCACCTCAGAAAAGTCTCGGGTCCCTGACTTACTGAGCTGGAGGTTGAAGTCACCTGCTCTCCCAACTCCTCTGAAGGAAACCGACTTGCATTTCCTAGATTTGGAATTATCTACTCACATCTGAGGTTCAACCTGGGTTCTCAGGCCAAAATTCTCACTTCATAGAAACGGCTAACCAAGCCTGAGAACTGCAGCCTTGCCCTCAGAATCACTCGTTCCTGCATCCTCAACCCATGGAACTGTTTTTCTTAAAATGCATTTAAAATTATAAAAGTGTTGTTCCTTTGGAAACTTTATTTCCATTGGGGCACAGAATTATGATATAATTTAAAGTAGAACGTATTTCTTTTGTTAGTTGTAAGAAATTTACTCAAAAGCAGTCTCTGCCTAACAGACAAATATGGGGAACATGAAACTGAAACAGTAGAGTTCCCCAATTCCCCTTGGCAGGACGCGCAACAGGGGTGTGGCTCGCCTACAGCTCAAAACCCTGGGGGGAGCATGCAGATGGGCAGGTGCAGAGGCCAGGGAAAGCCCTTTTGGGCTCTGGCCCCACGGCAGCATCTAGGAATGGGTGTCTGTGACTCCCCAAGCCCAAGTGGGTGTGTATTATAAAGCTCTTTCAGATTTGCCATCTGGGCTTGTGTCTTAATCAGCTCAATGGACCCTCTGCCTTATCGCAAGGGCAGGGGACCACTGAGACAACCTTCTATATTCTGAGCTCTTGCTGAGCGTCCTGAAAGAATCAAATCACATATGGGCTCAAAGGATGAATGAAAGGTTTTATTGAGTGGTAGAGGTGGCTCTCAGGGAGATGGATGGGGAGCCAGAACAGGGGATGGAGTGGGAAGGTGGTCTTCCCCTAGAGTCGGGCCGCCCAGCAGCCAGACTTTTCTAACTGCCCGCGGCCGAATTCCCCTTGGCATTCAGACATCCCTCCTCTTCTCTCTTTCTCTGCTGCGTTGTTCCACCGTTAACTGGTCTGCTGGTCCGCTGGTCCACTGGTCTGCTAATCCCAACATTTGGCTGATTGTGTGTGTGCCCGCTAAGGTCTCGGGTTTATATAGGGGCAAGATGTTGGGTGTGGCAGGCCAAAAGGCAAATTTTTGGGCACAAAATCAGAAATGGCTGTCCTCATTTAGGGTCGTGGGTCTTCAGGCTTGAGGTTGGGGCCTTTGTCGGGAACCGCCCTCTTCTACCCAGTATTTTCCTGTCTCCTGTCCGTAGCAAAATGAGAGGCAATCTGAAAGAAAACAGAGAATGAATTTATTCCTTCCATGAGCTTTTTAAAAAGATGAACCGACCACTCAGAGTCTTCATTAAATGTCTTACAATTGTTAATAATATCAAGTACACAGCCCTCATGAAGTGGCCAGAAGCAATCTCAGCACTCCACCTAGAGTAACTTGTGTAATACTCTATCAACCAGACCAATTGGGTAATAAGAACTATTATTACTGATATTTTACAGACAGGAAACTGAGGCACAGACAGGTTAAGTAACTCACCCATGAGCATGGCTGGTCCATGGCAGAGCTGGATGCGAACTTCTCAAGACAGAGGACACACTATGCTGTCCTGATCCCTAAAAGGGATAAATAACAAAAGAAGAGTCTATGATGAATTACTTTGTGACTTAGCAGAGGAAAAGCAGACAGCTCAAAACAGCCAAACAATGCCCCCTGGGGATGACCCCGTGGAACCCGTTGAGGTAAGGGCCACCTGACCATTCCACCTCTATGCCCAGATCCCAGAGCCCAGGCCACTGGCCTAGGTAGAGACAACAGGATTCCCACATTAGCCAAGCTAATGGCTCCCGCTGGCTCCTTCCTCAGAGCTGGTTTCCAGCAGCTCATCCTCCTTCCCAAGCATCTTTCTCTCGGTGGTTGGGAGAAACAGAACCTCTCCGAACCAATTCACTCTAAGGTGCAAACGACTAATAGCTTTGGGAAGACATTTGCCTATTCAATGAGGCATTTCTCAACTCAAAGGCTCTCTAATGGGTAGAAATACAGACAATGTGGCAGAGAGTAGAGAATTCAATGCCATGCAAGAGATACAGGTTTTTGGTTTTGTCTTTTGTTTTACTTTTACTTTTTTTCCTTCAGATAAAATTCACATATCAAAACATTGTGCAACCATCGCTGCTATCTAATTCCAGACCGTTTTTCTCACCCCAGAAAGAAACCCTATACCTATTAGCAGTCTGTCTGCACTGCCCCCATGCTCGAGCCCTTGGCAACCACTAGTCTGCCTTCTGTCTTCACAGATTTGCCTATTCTATTTATATTTCACATAAATGAAATCATATCACATGTGCCTTTTGTGTCCAGCTTTCTTCAGTTAGCATAATGGTTCAAGGTTCATCTATGTTGTGGCATGAATCAGTATTTCATCCCTTTTTACAACAGAATAACATTCCAATGTGTGGATAAACCACATTTTGCTTATCCACTCATTAGTTGATAGACATTTGTATTATTTCCACTTTGGCTATTATGAATAAGGCTGTCGTGAATATTCATGCACAAGAGTCTTTATGTGGACATATGTTCTTTTTTTTTTTTCTTTTTCTTTTTTTTGAGACAGAGTCTTGCTCTGTTGCCAGGCTGGAGTGCGGTGGCATGATCTCGGCTTACTGCAACCTCCACCTCCCGGGTAAAAGCAATTCTGCTGCCTCAGCTTCCTGAGTGGCTGGGACTACAGGCATGTGCCACCACACCCAGCTAATTTTTGTATTTTTAGTAGAGACGGGGTTTCACCATGCTGGCCACATGGTCTCGATCTCTTGACCTCATGATCCGCCCACCTCAGCCTCCCAAAGTGCTGGGATTACAGGCATGAGCCATCACGCCTGGCCAGACATACGTTCTTTATTATCTTGGGGTATACCAAGGGTAACTGCTGCTGGGTCATATGGTAATAGGAATAGTATCTAAATACAGGAAGTTTAGAAGAATCCAGTAAATCATAGGACCTAGGCGACTGCCTACTTGCGCTGTGTGACCTCAGGCAATCCAAGTAACCTCTCTGAATCTCAGGTTGGCTTTTTGCTTAGTGTTGTTGTTTTGTATGTTGAATGTCAATTAAAACGTTTGCCTTTCAGTGTCCTTGTGAAGATTAAAATGATGTAAGTAAAGGCATTTCTAAACTAGGCAGTGGGAGGCTCTTGAGCTCCTGTCATCAGAGACGCTGTCAGATGGGCCCCTATGGCAGGGTGGCCACTCGTGCAGGTGGGCCAGGGACACCACCCTGCAGCAAGAGCTCTGCCTGGTGATTCCTTCTCTTTCCCAGCTAGTGGCCCTGCTGGTAAATAATCTTGTGAGAGGCTTTAGCTGCAATCATGACTTAATGAGTTCATTCATGAGGTGACTGGGAAAAGAAATTATTCACATGGAAATTTCCAGTGCGGTTCAAAGCCAGAGTGGGTAATATTCTAGCTGCACACACTGTATGCACACGCACACTGCATGCACGCACACTGCATGCACACACACTGCACACTACACCTGCTGTATACACGGTGAGCACACACACACCGCATACACACTGCTCACACGCCACACACAGGTTCTCAGGTGAGGCCAGGTCAGGCCACGCTCCCTGGGAAGCTGGCCCAGGCTGACACAGGCAGGGAGCCTCTGTGCTCTGTGATTCACCCAGGACTTCACTCCCTTCAAAGAGCCTCCTCCTTTTCTGGACAGTCTCTGTCTACGTCCTTTGAAAAAGGCCTGACCTGTGTCCTGTGTCCTCAGGCCCTGCTTCCGTGGATCCTCTACGGTTAGAGCTGAGCATCTGGTCTGGGCATTAACCCACAGGACAGGCACACAGAGCAACCTGGGAGTGAATTCCAGCTCTCCGCTTGTTAGCTGTGTGGCCTCGAGTAAGTCAATTGGCCTCTCTGGGCTTCAGTGTCCTCCTGTGTCACACAGGGATGATGAGAGTCCCTGCCTTGAAGGGTTATGGCCAAGATAAAATGAGATCTGCCATAGAGCATGTCAAGAGCCGTGCCCAGCCCAGAGCAAGTGACTAAGAGGTTCCAGCTGGTATTATCATTATTATCAATTGTCTGTGCCTCCTCTCTTCCCGCAAAGCAACTACAGCCACGGGCCGCATAATGACGTTTCAGTGGACAATGGGCCACATATACAACAGTGGCCCCATGAGATTATGACGGAGCTGAAAAATTCCTGCTCCCTACTCCGGCCTTCATGATCATGACCCCGTGATGGCCTAGGACAATGTGCATGTTTGTGTCTTCGTTTTTAAATGAAAATGTTTAAAAAGTAAAACTAAATTTTAAAACATTTAAATATATAGAATAAAGATATAAAGAATAATTTTGTGCAGGAGTACCCCGTGCTTGTGTTTCAAGCTAAGTGTTATTACAAAAGAGTCAAAAAGTGAAAAAAAATTAAGTTTGTAAAGTAATAAAAGTTACAGTAAACTAAGGTTAATTTACTATTGAAAAAACTTATAGATTTAGTGTAGCCTAAGTGTGCAGTGTTTATAAAGTCTATAGTAGTCTATAGTAGGGTGCAGTCGTGTACAGTAGTCTACAGTAGTGTACAGGAGTCTATAGGATTGTACAGTAGTGTAGTGTGCGGAAGTCTACAGCAGTATACAGTAGTGTACAGTAGTGTGCAGTAGTCTACAGTAGTGTATAGTAGTGTACAGTAGTGTACAGTGTACAGTAGTGTGCAGTAGTCTACAGTACTATATGGTAGTGTATAGCAGTGTGCAGTAGTCTACAGTAGTGTGCAGTAGTCTACAGTAGCGTATAGTAGTGTGCAATAGCCTACGGTAGTGTACTGTAGTGTACAGTAGTGTATAGTAGTGTGCAGTAGCCTACAGTAGTGTGCAGTAGTCTACAGTAGTGTACAGTAGTGTATAGTAGTGTGCAGTAGCCTATGGTAGTGTACGGTAGTGTGCAGTAGTGTGCAGTAGTCTATAGTAGCGTACAGTAGTGTGCAGTAGCCTACGGTAGTGTACGGTAGTGTGCAGTAGTCTACAGTAGCATACAGTAGTGTATAGTAGTGTGCAGTAGCCTACAGTAGTGTATGGTAGTGTGCAGTAGTGTGCAGTAGTCTATAGTAGTGTACGGTAGTGTACAGTAGTGTGCAGTAGCCTACAGTAGTGCACGGTAGTGTGCAGTAGTCTACAGTAGTGTATGGTAGTGTACAGTAGTGTGCAGTAGTGCCCTAGGCCTTCCCAGTCACTCCCTGCTCACTCACTGGCTCACTCAGAGCCACTTCCAGACCTGCAAGCTCCATGTTAAGTGTCCTATGCAGGTGAACCATTTTTAATCTTTTCTACTGTATTTTGACTGTACCTTGTCCATATAGGTACAAATACAATTGCATTACAATTGCCCACAGTATTCGGTACAGTCACATGTTGTACAGGTTTGTAGCCTAGGAGCAATGGGTCTACCATATAGCCTAGGTGTGAAGTGGTCTGGCCCATCTAGATTTGTGCAAGTATACTCTGTGGTGTCTGCACAATGACAAAAGTCACCTAAAGACACATTTCTCAGAATGTATCCCTGTTTTTGAGTGATTCATGGCTGTATATACAATTTAGTTGGGGCCTTCTTCATATCCAAGCCCTTGTCTCACCTGGTGTTTAATGTTGAAATACCAGCCCTGGTGGCAGGGAGTGGAAGGAGGTTTGCAGACAGGTAAGCTGTTCAGACTGGGCAGGCACTGGCAGGTGTATGGATGTTCTATTTACTGCACTCTTTGAGAGTCTTTGCAAATGTTACCTGACATGTAAGTACACTGCCTTTCCCTAAAGCTGGTCCTGCTCACAATTTTGTTTGCACCAACAAATGTATCTATTGTTTTCTGGACCCTCCTTCCTGATCCAAAACTTTCACTATATGTAATATAATTTTAAATCCCTAACTCCTTAGAGGTCTGGCCCATCCTTAGGTTTAGTCTTCCCTAATTGCCCTCACTTAAGCTGCAAGCAGCCTCAATCCTCAATTGGCCTCCCAAGCACCACTCTGCTTTCCTGCCTCACTGCCTCTGCCAGCACTACACCCTCCACCAAAACACACCTTCCCTTGCCCCTCCCAACCATCTCCACCATCAGCCCAGCTCAAAAGTCACCCTTCCAGGAAGTCCTCTAAGATCTGCACTATGGCCTCTGCCTTATGTTTCCATAGCATTAATAGCATTCTTCTAGAACATTCTCTCTTGTAGTATGATTATTTCTATACATGTCTTATCACTGACACCACACTGTGAGTTAATTTAACTTTGTTATTTGTAACAGTCTCTTTCATTTTTATAGTATCCTGCCAGGAACTTACAGATAGTAAGTATTTAAATTTTGTTGAGTCAAATGATGTGCACCCTTCAAAATGATTGAGTTTTAACATTAACTCTTTAAATCACCAGGATCACCATGTTACAATTTATATCAGTAAGAACTCCTAGAACTCTAGAATCTAGACAGGCAGTCGAATGCTAAAAGTCAGTGCTGTGACAGCAGGCACACTCTGCCTTTCCCTAAAGCTGGTCCTTCTCACAATTTTGTTTGCAACAACAAACATGTGTATTGCCTTCCCTGATCCTGGGAATCTTAGGCACATTTTTAGCCTCTCCGTGTTTCAGTTTCCTCATGGATTAAAAAAGGACAACAACAGTACTGACCTCATAGGATTGCTATGAGGAGAAAATGAGTTAGCCTTTGTAAGTCTGTAGGAAAGTGCCTAGCATGTAGGAAACACCCAGTAAATATTAGCTGGAATTCCACCTCAACACCAGCTCCCCACAGGCTCTTACCCTGCAGAGGTCTGGAAAACGGCCAATTAGATGCTGTAGTTACCAGCTCTCACCAGTAGGAGACACACAATCGCCACAGCTGTGATCATTTCCCTTCAAGATGGAGCCCAGGGATGGAGAATTCAGTTTGGGAATGGAGGCAAAGGTGCTTTTATAAATATCAAGAAAATCTTGGGATCTGAAGATCACACATGGCCCTCTGCAAGAGGTTGCACGGCGAGGACATTTGGCAAGTTCCACTGTACCTCTTTCTCTACCCAGCACCTGCTTAGAAAGGGCAAAGGTTGTGGCAGTAGCAGGGAGGTGTGGGATGGCCCCCAAGAAGGGTGGACACAGAGACCCGGGAAGGAGGAACTGGATCTGTAGCCAGCAATGCATATATTTAATTTTATTCCATGATTTCTTCCAGGATTAGCTAACTCTATCCACCCATCCTGGCTTATGTGGTCACCTCCTGAACATGGGGTCCAGTCCACATGAAATCACCCTCCTATCAGCTTGTTCCTCCATTCCTTCTTCCAGCCAGATTGTTACTCTATGCCCTGGGACCTGAGCATGCCTGGCCCATTCCCAAGCCTGCCCTGGGCTTCCTGGTATTTCTACTTCCAGCTCATACCTCACTTCCTCCAAGAAGCTTTCCCTGACCTCTCTAGTCCAGCAAGTTCCTCCTCCACCGAGCCTCTCCCACTGGCCTTTCCACAGTTAGGCACTTTCTCCAATGCTGCCTGTTGGGTCACTTGCCTTTTCATGTAGCACCATGAGGACAGGGACACTCCTTGTCTGTACCTTTTCATGTAGCACCATGAGGACAGGGACACTCCTTGTCTGTACCTCCTCAGGAGTCTGCAAAGGGTTCTGCATGGAATCTGGGCGATGTTGACTGCAGAAAGACTGGACAAGTGCCAGGTAATCTGTAGGTGTGCAAGAATGAATGGAAAAATTTTAAATATCCACTATAGACAGAGGGAAAAAAAAATCCTATTTGAAATGTTACCTTGCCCCTAGGTTTGAATTTAAGAGGTATTTTCTCCAATTTGATCATCAAAATATGACAAGTGAATGCTGTTGCTATGAAGTCTTATGAAGATCTTGCATGTTATCCAGGCCTCGGGTTCCCTCTTCTCTCTCTAACAAAATATAGTTTAAAATTTTCACTTGTGGGCTGGGCGCAGTGGCTGACACTGGTAATCCTAGCACTTAGGGAGGCCAAGGTGGGCAGATCGCTTGAGCCTAGGAGTTCAAAATCAGCCTGGGAAACATGGCAAAACTCCATTTATTTAAAAAAAAAAAAATTAGCCTGGCATGTTAGCGTGTGCCTGTACTCCCAACTACTCCAGAGGCAGAGACAGGAGGATCGCTTGAGCCAGGGAGGTCGAGGCTGCAGTGAGCCTTGATTGCGCCACTGCACTCCAGCCTAGGAGACAGAAGGAGACCCTGTCTCAAAATAAGAAAATCACTTGTAATTTTGCTTATTTAGTATTTGGTGAATGAACTCATTAGAAGTCACATTATCAGCCACCGACTCCGGTCAGCCGTGGGCTGGGAGAGAAAGGGAGAGCAGAGCAGATGCAGCTCCCGCCCTCCTGGAACATGACATCATCTAATTTGTTCATTCAACAGAAACTTCGCACACACTTACAAAGCACCCCGCTCTGTTCTAGGTGGGCTCTGGGGATAGAAAACTGAGTAAGAGAATGTGGTCCCTGTCCTTAGGCACACATTATCCATTGGAGAAAACAGCTGAACCAGGCACAAGTCACTAAGTTCCCAGTTTCTCAGAGGGTTTGATGAAGGTGTTAGATATACAGAATCACTCTAATACTATGTCTGAAAAAAAAAATACTTCCCATTAAAGAGCAAGGTTGTAGGAACATTTTGAGGGCAGGAAAGGAAGAGCAACTCTTCACTCTACGCTCAAAAAAATCTCCCGCCTGGTCTCTGATAGCTTCATTTCTTTTCACGAGAAAATAAAGCATTACATTTCATAAAAGACAAGGCTTAGAAAGCTGACTTCAACTACTGTCATATTCCCAAGGGGAGCAAGGAAACGCAGGGGAAAACACAAGGCATACCCATTTTACAGATAAGGAGACTGAGGCTCTGTGGGGAAGGTTTAGCCGGTTGGCTGGGCTTGCGGGTGAGTTAGAGGAGGTGGCACTGCTCCAGCCCACATCCCTGGTTCTCAGGCATCCCTCTCTCCCGGGCTCCTCCATTAAACTCTGCGTGCCAGCCCAGGGCACCAATCATGGGCAGAGTGGGCTCTCCGCTGCCTCGTGGGGTCCCAGCAGAATTAACTTTCATGAAGCAAGTTAGAGAAAAGTTAAGAAGAGCAGCCTCAATGCAGGTTGCTAAAGCCCAGCCCCACTGAGCAGGTGCACGGAGCCAGCCTGCTGTTCTGCAAGCACAACCCGCTAGATGCCAAACCAGTGTGTTGCAGGTGGTCTGAGCCAGGAAGTAGATCTGAAGCTTCAGGGTAGCTGTGTGAGTGAAAAAAAAAAAAAAAAAAAAAAGAACGTGATTCCTATCTGACCGATGACTCAGAAGTATGAACTGGGGGGCCTTTCCTTCCTGACCCACCTGACAGGGCCATGGCCGACACAGCCGTGTGTACACCAGTGAGCCTGTCACATCGCGGGTCTGCTGTGACATTCTGTCGAGCCCGAGGCAGAATCCAGTGTGAGCAGATTTCTCACGCTCCAGGCTTCCCTCACAAAGCTGCGTTTCCCTCAGCTACTTCTTTACCTATTTGGAAAGAATAGCAGGAAAAGGAAAGATGGATCTTGGTGAATCTTCCAAAAATCCTGTACTGGATTCCAGAGCTGGACTACTCAAAGGTGTGAAATTGGATCTCCTCCTCTTTAAAAACTCTTTTCCTGGGGTCTTCATACTCCCCACTTCTTCCTCTCCCATAAAAACCTGGTTTTAGGAAGGGAAGACATCAAATCATTCACCTGGAGGAGTACATGAATAAGAGCACCTTACCATGTACTTGCCTTTTAACAGAGATCAAGAAACATTTTGCAAAGGAATGAGTGTTACCAGATAGGAAGTCGTGACTGTGAGTTGTCCAGGTTCTTGGCGTGTTGGACAAAGGATTTAATAAAATGCACAAAGCAACAAAGGAAGGAAGCAACGAAAGTGCAGGTTTATTGAAGTGAAAGTACACTCTATAGAGTGAGAGTTGGCTCGATCAACGAAGCAGCTCAAGAGCCCCATTTAGAATGTTCTTTGGGGTTTTTGTTAAGCTGAAATAATTTGGTAACACCCCTAGATTCCCTTTAGAGGCCTCCAATTGGTTACCCGCTATGATGGATGGGCCCCCAACCAATCAGAGGCTGAAGTGGAAACTTCCGTTTTGTTATCACAGGAGTGAGGTTGTGGCCTGTATGCTGCCTAATCTTGCCTAGAACTGGCTGCACCTGCTGTTCCTTTGCTTATGCCTTAACCCTTGGTTACCCTAATTCCCTATTCTCCTGCCTTATAAGGGTGGTGCTAGGCATTAGCTAGGACACAGATGGGGCATCTTAGACAGAAGAGGCTCATTCTTCACTCAAAAAGCCACACCTGGTTGTCTTTTTTTTTTTTCTCTAGTTCAATCATCCAGCTTTGTCCTGGACCTGGTCTGGGCGCACCGTGCTGGAGAGAGACCTGGCCCAGCCCACCAGCACGGCTTCTTCAGAGGACCTTTCTGGTCTACCTGATTCACCACAGCTTGATCATTTGCAGCCTGATTTTGCAGTTCATCTCTTTGTATTCATATGTATTCTGACTCCTCATTTACCCTATAAGATCATCTGAGGGGTAAAACCTGACCATCTTCCTTGTTCTTTCCTATCCTGGAAGGTCCATGTGATTTTTGACAATGAATATGATTTCTGTTTGTCTTTGGAATGAGTTTTTGCATTTGATTATCAGGGGGTTCGATGTTTAGGGATTTCTACTCTCAGTGAAATCTAATGCCACACCTGGCAGGAATTGGGTCCTTTTAACATGAGACTAAAATCCAATGAGCCCAGGCCAGGAAGACCTGATTCACAGGGGCCAGGGAGGGTGCTCACTTCTCCACTTCTGCACGAAGCCACCTCCAGTCTGGAAAGAAGCAACTCTTCCATTATCTGTTGGAGATTCCTTATTGCTTATAAAGTAGGAGTAAACAGAGTGTGTGAGATGTTGACCAAGCACGATGGGATGGAACAGATGCCCTCTCATTAATGCAGAGCATATGGCAGAGTTCTGTAGCCATTCTCAATAAAATGGAAAACAAGGTACTTTAAAATAAACACAGCTGGACACAGTCGAGAAAACAATGGTGATCTTTATTTTGCAGAAATGAAGTCAAAGTGTTGCTTACTGGTTGTCAAATAGCCACACATGAAAGGGGCTGGAAACACAGCCAATGTTCAGAGTTAGAGTCACTGCATTGGAGACCCAGAAATCAAGAGTCCTGATCACACCAAGCAGGCTAAGAGAGGGCTGGGGAGGGAGATTTCCACCCTGTCCTTTTCGGTCCCTGGTGCTTCCTCGGCCAGTGTGAGTACAATGATTTGCACAACTACTGCTTTCACTTAATGCAAAAATGGACTGATGTTTTAAGTTGAATCCAGTAGTTCAACCACTGGAGCTTCAGAAGGGTCCACAGCCCGCCCCTTTCTGCCGGAACTGTCTTATGTTATCATCTAATCAGGCATCCCTGGCCATTCACCAATGGTCCGAGAGTTGGGACCTCGTTGATAAATGTATTTATTCCGAATTTAGGTGTAAGTCCCTTCCAGGCAGTGCAGCAGAGCAGAGGATAACAAGGAGACAATTTGGTTTTCTCCATTTTGTTTAGGAACACACTTTTTACATGAGTGCCTTAAGTGCAGCTGCCGTTTCCTACCAAGCAAGACAATGATCAGCCCTGCTTTGTTTGTTCCCACAGCTCAGGAACCTGGCTCAGAGCTGCTCCTCAGTGCCAGCTGCTGGACTGGACAAGATTTTAGGCAAGGCACGGCCACACACCAGGTAGGTGAAAACCCACCACACTGAACCGCTGCCAGGGAGCCCATGAAGGCACTGAGCCTCTCCATGAACAGAGGCCTAACCTCAGCCTGCCTGGCTGATCTCATCTCTAGGGTGCTTTACATGACAGCAGCAGAGTGTGAGCCTGCTGCCCGGAGGAACTATGCAGGTGTAAGCAGCACCCAGCTTGTCCTCAGACACGTGGCAGCCCAGGGGCAAAACATCAGGTTGTTCACGAATCACCAAGGTATTTTTGGCATCATGTTATTATACTCCAAAAACAACCAAAGAGCAGGGGAAAAAAAAAACCCAATTCACAAAAGTAAAATGCAGTCCATCTAAGAGGGTTGTTTAAGTTTAAAGTTTTCTTTACTGAATTGGCCCAAACTGGATAAGCATTAATATCCCTCCCTAAGGCTCCCAGCCAGGCGGGACCAGGCAGAACAAAAGCTTGAGCCAGTTACTGGGCATTTGCCACAGGCCAGACGCCCTCACCATAGCCACATTGCATCATTCATCAAACCCACCTCAGGAAGTGGATGCGGTGATTCTCCCCGGGACACTCTGGGAGGGGGTAGCACAGATAATGAGAAAGACTAGGGATCCCAGGTCAGATATGGGGAATGCCAGAGCTTCGGGTCTTTGCATGAGTAAGGTTAGATAAGCCCGAAAGAGCACAACCAAGGGTCCGCAGAGAGCAGCAAATCAGAGACCACGCCAGGCAGTGGACAGCCCGTGGTCAAGCCCAAAGTGACCTCCAGGAAAGGAGGACATCCCTGTAATGACACTGCAGCCTCTCCCTTGCCCCAGCCCCACTCCCAGGGCACAATTCCAGGCTGCCTGGGGCACCAGAGCTCACATCCTCCCAGGCATGGGCAGGAGGGTCACCGACTGGCGCTGGAGGCTCCGCTGCTGCGGCAGAACCACGGGCTCCCTGCAGAGGGAGCCCTGACCCCTTCCGAGGCAGCAAAAACTAGCCGTGCTCAGACCTCCCTCCTGAGTGAAAGGTTCTGCAGTGTACACAGGTTGTTTGTGCTGGAAGCATTTCCACGGAGCCACAGCAGTGGATAGCTGACACGAAATTCCCTGGCTGTCTCCCATCGTTTGAGAATTAAGGTTATATAGCTGTTATCCGCACATCCTATCAGCCTTTGGGTTACAGGCTGTGATGTTGACTTTTGTGAAAGAAGCAGGGAGCGATGGGACAGGGAGAAAGGCCCGAGGGGGCCATTTGCAGGCACAGCCCTGTCCTCACCCGAGCCACCGCCACCCCAGAGTGGGGTAGCTGATACCCGGCAGGTTGCTGTTGGTGACTGAGCAGGTGTGGGGGGATCCAGATCCAGAAGAGAGGAAGGCGGGGAAGAAAGAGGAGTGCAGAGAGGGCTGAGCCTGCAGCGCTGTGCACTTAGGGGGCTTGCTTGAAGCCTCATTATCTGGGACATAACTGCAGTCAGACGGACTAGGGGGCTCCAGGAGGCTGATGATGTGAAAGGTGATGACAGATTTTCATTTTCCATTAGGAGATGAAAACTGCTTTCCCAAGCTCTCCAAACAGAAGAGAGACTTGGCTGAAGGTCTAAGTAATGCCTGAGGCCTCCAGGAGGGCCAGCGTGTCTGGTCGGGACCACGGTGCACCACGCAGTATTTGTTCCCCGGGGAAGCCACTCCTCTGCTACTGCACTCTGGAAGAGACTCCTGGGTCTCACAAGGGGGTGGAGGTGTCCGCAGAGGCCCTTTAAGGGGTGTGGTTAGAGAAGGCTTAAATTTGCTATCTGGGAACCTCATATCTGAATCTACACACCATGATTTTAACAATCATTTTTAGCGGTTATAACTTCAAATAAAGATTTCAAATTCTATATGGACGCTAATGATCTATTCCAAGCTAATATCCACAGTAGAGGAGAATGAGAAAATCTTGAATGGGAATCCAGTTTGTAGAAGAGTCAAATGATTTTGAGTCTCGAGTAAAGACGCTGCCGTGGTACACAGTATTCAAGACAGCACGTGAAATTAAAATGTGTCTAACTTCCGCTCCCGTCGATGAATTTCTGAACTTTTCCCCCGTGTTAGGGCCCAGGTCTCTCCAGTGCTTTCCAGGGCTACTATCTATAATTGGCAAATGATCCCCTCATACTATCCAATTGTTCTCCTTCCGAAGACCTACAAAAAGAAACCTGATTATCTTGCCAACTGCTCTGTGTTACCAGATGTTTAGTTTGAGAATATGAAGTGTACCTGTGAGAGTATCCAAGCGCAAAACACTTCTGGCCCAAGCTGGCTAGTCTGATCATGAGACCAAGCCTCAAAACCTTGAATTTTATATGAGCTTGACCCAATCAAATAGAACTTAAACATCTCCTGGAAGAAGGGGCAATGTCTTCATCCTCTTTGAGACTTCCTCCTACTCATGGGATTCCGTAGAGTGCTTTGCATACAGCAAGTGCTGAATAATTGAATTTTCTGCCCTGTGGTCACAGAGACCACACCATCCAAATGCCAGTGATAATCTTCAGTGACATTTACAGAGTCTATGTGAATCAGACTAACCACATCTTTAAATCCTGACCCAGTTTCACTCAGATTTGGCTGGACAACTGCCCTTAATAGCCCAGCTTCCAGACTGTCAATCACACAGCGATCTCCTGGACACCTTCTGTGAACCTGGCACAGAGATCAATGCTGGGGATGGGAAAATGAATACAGCAAGGTGTTCCAACATAGTGACAGGTGAGCAAGTCACTACAGGACAGGGAGACAGGTGTTAGAGACAGAGAGGGTGCTGGGCAGGCTTAGAGGAGGGTACCCAGGTCTTCCCAGGGGTCTAAGGAGGCACCACCCAGAGGTGAGATTTGAGTCGGATTCTGGTAAACATGGGAGTTTGCTGTGCCAGGCGAGGACCCTTCCAAGCAGAGAATAGCAGCGTTCTGAATGCCAGGGCGAGTTTGAAGGGTGCAGGGGACGCCATTTGAATTTGTGAGGCTACCTTGAAAACAAACAGGATAATAAGGGACAACTCCACTTCAGATGTCATATGTTATTCCTTTATTCATGGAATTCCTACTAAAGAGTGAGTCCTCAATATTTGGGAGGACATGAATGAAGCCCTTTGAGAATCTGCTTCTTTAAAAAAAAAAAAAAACAATCTCTGCCCCTCTCCCCCTTGAAGCAATCCTCAGACTCCTGTTTAAGAAATCCTGGTGTAGACTATAAAGTGCTTCCACCACGCTGCACCCTCAGCTACACTTGCAGATGCACTGGGGCTCTATTTCCCTGCCTCTGCCTCCACTGCCTGGTTTCCCTTCAGAACCACCCAAGTCCTTTTTCCCAAGAGATGTGTTGAGACGTGAAATTTCCCAGCGCTGAGCCTACCACCACACTCGGAGACTGGAACCCGCCACACGCCTGGCCCTGCAGACGAGCTAACACATGGGCAGCATGGTCCTGCCTCCTGCCCTGCTGCGGCGTTTCTCTTGAGCCCAGAGGCACCGCCTTAGCTCACTGTGTCCACAAACAGAACATTCTGGCATGGCCTGAATACAACTGACTCTTTAGATGACGGTCTCTGATGAGATCAACCAAATCAACAAATGTAATGAAAAGATAAGAATTGTTGATGTGCACAACAGGGCAAACTGAGAATCTGGGGCCTGATTTATGTCCTTCTGCTGCCAGTGATTCCTTCAGTTTGCCCCTTCTTTCTCTGAGCTTCTGGTCCCCCTTCTGTACGCAGGGGGTGAGGATTCCTGCCCTATTCATGAGGTAGACGAGAATTAAAATCAAGTGAGATGATGAGGGGGAAAGTGCTCTGAACTCTAAACCTTCTAAAATACCAAATATTATTATTATTAAAGAAATTATTGGGAAACTAATGATAGAATCACAGAGGGAAAATGGCATTTTACTACCACTCAAGAGCAAAATCTCAATAGAAAAACCAAAACAGCCAGCCAGTAGACAGGGAATACATAGCATCTGGCATTTGTTATAAGGTATTGTAAATATTTTTTACTTTTATGTGTTTATTATACAGTTTCAGAAAGGAAAAGGAAAGAAAAGGACCCAAGAACTCTCTGCTTTGTTGGATCAAGTGCAGGTTCTTCTAGAACACCGGCGGGTACAGAGTCAGGGCTCAGCAATGTCCGCTCTTATCGCGAAAGAGCCTGCTGACCTTGGAAAGACGCTGCTAAGACAAAGAGGCTGCCTAGGAAGGGGCCAGCCAGGCTGCTGTGGAACAGCTGGGCAGGGCCCTCAAGGGGGAGTCATGTCCCCACCACTCCCCCAACCCCCATTTGCTCCACCAGCCACTGCTTTTTCTAACACTCCACAACTTTGCCATCTGACTTCAGACTGGCTGTGGTGAGGGCTAGGATAGGTTGAGAGAAATGCAGGTGACCTCAGTGGAAAGCAAATCAAGCAAGGCACATAAAAGATCAAAGGTCGTTCAACAGATCTGTGAAGGTTTCATCCATTCACTGTGGTTCTATTTCCCTGCCTCTGCCTCCACTGCCTGGTTTCCCTTCGGAACCACCCAAGTCCTTTTTCCATAGTGCCTGCACGTCCCACTTCCAGGCACTATGCTGGGGCTGTGGAAATGAAAGAGACCACGTGCGTTACAACAGACGAGACAGGCAGATGAGCCAGACAAGTAGGTGACACAGGTTTGCAGGGAGACACCCACTCTAGGCTGCAAGTGGTCCCTGGGTTGAAATGCGGAGAGGGCCTCTTGGCAAGCAGCAGAGAGGGGCCAGGGTTAGCACACAGAGCCTGGCGAGATCGATCAAAGGGACTGAGGAGTCCTGTGGGCTCTGATGCCTGGGAGTGATTGAGGCATACATATTTGAGAGAATTCCTCGGGCAGTGACAGGGAGGATGGAGGGGGACAGAGAGTTGAGGGAATTAAGGTCTGATGCAAGGAAAATAGCAGAAACTATTGAAGTAATGCAGGCAACATGCCACAGGAGTGTGGAACGTCAGTGGATGAGAAAAAAGAAGTAAATGAAAAATATCCAGAAGGCAACATTTGATCATGTGGAGAAGGGAAAGTCCCTGGAGCCAGACAGGCCTGACTCCAGCTCGCAGCCCTGCCACTTGCCAGCTGAGAGGTCTGCAGATTGCTTAACATCACGGAGCCTCAGTTACTTCATCTATAAAATGGCCCTAATTGTATAGGAGTGTTGTAAGGATTGAGAAAGAATGAGGGTAAAGAGATTAGCCTGGCACATGGCAGGCAGTCAGTGTTAGCCCTGTTGAAGAAAATGGTAATTCATGCCATAGGTTGAGGACCAAGTTTGATTTTTTTTTTTTTTTTTTTTTTTTTTTTAGACAGAGTCTTACTCTGTCACCCAGGCTGGAGTGCAGTGGTGCTATCATAGCTCATTGAAGCCTCAAACTCCTGAGGGAAGTCCTCTCTCCTCAGTCTGCCAAGCAGTTAGGACTAAAGGCCCAGCTAATTTAAACTTTTTTTTTTTTTTTGAGACAGGGTCTTACTTTGTTGCCCAGGCTGGTCTCAAACTCCTGGCCTCAGGTGATCCTCCCACTTCGGCCTCCCAAAGTGCTGGGATTACAGGTGTAAGCCACCACACCTGGCTTGAAAATGAAACCTGATTATCTTGCCAATCAAAACCTGATTATCTTGCCAGAAATGAGATGAGATGCTGTGGGTGCTTAGCAATGGATGACAGGCTTGTACCTATACCTCAGGGCAACTGCATCCACACAACGTGACTTTGGAGAGCTGTATGCGCCATGACTTTATGCAGGGGGCCTCCAATGCAGGTTAATCCAGGCTGTGTGGAATGGTGGACCCACAGCTGTGTTGCCTCGAAACCCCAGATGCCAGGAAATGATGGTTTCCAGGTCAGGCTTCTTATGGCTGAAATCCCTTTAACTGCACTTTTTTCTTTTGCAAAGTCACCAGTAATTCAAAGAGCCCCCAAATACTGAGCCACTCTCCATACCTTTATGCCAAATCCACAGTCAAATACTGGGAGTTCAGATCGGAGGAGCACACACTTGGGCAAACTGACCTAAGAGGCCTCGCCACCCACTCCCAGGGTGCACCTGTGACCACCCTTCCTTCTCCCACTTCCAGCAGGCTCCTGAAGTCTATTCAGGCTGGGAGCTGATGCTGAACTCAGCAGGGCCCCAGTTGACTAGATCATTTCCCATGTGAAGTTCTGGGGAGAGAAGATCAGGTCTCCATGGAGCAGGGCCCGGCGGCACTTTCGCTGTGCGAAGCCACCAGCAGGCCCCACTCCGCTGGAAATTCATCAGTGCATGGAAAGGCAAAGGGCACAGTTGTTTCCGTTCACCAGGTATTCGCCACGTCACTTGTTTCCTATTTCAGTGCATTAAAAAAATTTCCCCTCCGGTGAGAGTGCTGAGGCGCCTTTGTTGTGAAATATGGTTAACACGAGTGCTTTTTTTTAATGACATCACCAAATTAGGTCTCTGTGTGTGTCAGAAAAATTAACCCCGGCAAGTGTACAGTTCTCCTGGGATCACAAGGAAGTGCAAAATAGGGCTGGAGGGCGGGGGACTGGCCAGGGAGCATGAGGAGGAACAGCGATCAAAGGAGAGGGGAAAGAAAACAAAAATCGTGGGCAGACCAAGACTGACATGCGGACAGGTGCCTGGCAAGCAGAATACTCAGGAAAGAAACTTGACCTACTTCACTTGACTGGATGTGGATTATCTACACGTGCATGCTTTTTCAAGCTCAAATGAATAATTATCTGACAAATACAGATCTGTTCCTCTCAATTTGGTTCATAACATCTTATTTTAAATATTCAAATATTTCACCCACATCGCCAGAGCCTCTGTATAGGCCGCATGTTTTCATGTGCTCTAAATCTGCAGATGGTTGGGATGGCTGGGGCGAAAGGTCTGAGCTTTGACCCACATTGTGTTTAAAGAAATGTTTAGGGCCGGGGGCAGTGGCTCACGCCTGTAATCCCAGCACTTTGGGAGGCTGAGGTGGGCAGATCACGAGATCAGGAGATCGAGACCATCCTGGCTAACACGGTGAAACCCGTCTCTACTAAAAAAAAAAATACAAAAAGTTAGCCGGGAGTGGTGGCACATGCCTGTAGTCCCAGCTACTCATGAGGCTGAGGCAGGAGAATTGCCTGAACCCGGGAGGCGGAGGTTGCCGTAAGCCAAGATTGTGCCACTGCACTCCAGCCTGGGTGAGAGAGCGAGACTCCATCTCAAAAAAAAAAAAAGAAAGAAATGTTTAGAATGAATGGACATTTAATAGAATGTCGGCTTACTGGCGTTTTAAATCATTGGCAGTAACACTGGGCCCGCATTCCTATGTGGCCCTCATGGGCTGTCCCTTTGGACCCAGCACAACTTCTACCATTTTCTACGGTCCCACCACTCCCAAGCACTCACTTCAACCATTGACTTTCCCCTCAGGCGTTTGAGGGTGGTCTCTGGGCTAGGCAGTGAAGCAGGCTCTGATGGGTATAGCCGGAGAGACAACGTTTGCTCCATACCTGGGAGTTATATATCCCTCAAATATATGGAAATAGCCAGACATGTTTCCAAATAAATTCAAAGAGAAGCAGAAGCCATTTAAAAACAGAGCAGAGAGTTCTAGTTCCCATGCATTACGGTTTGAGACCCAATTTCTCTATTGTATTCTCTCCCTAAATAGCAAACTAACCACCAGCAAGACTTGAAACACCACCACTTCAGAGCCGCCCAGGCTTTCCTTTGGGCTGTATCATTTATAGACGCCCACCCCCGCTTGATGGAGAGAAAGCTCTGACTTATTCACAAGGCTGTGGGAGGTGTCTGCGGGGTGGAAAGGCCAGAGAGCAGAGTCCCACTCCAGAGCGGGAACCCATCATCAGGGCACGAAATCCAAGACTCATGCCACTTAATTGATTTTTGGAAAACACTGAGTATTGCTTTTTTTTTTTTGAGACAGGATCTCATACGCAGGCTGGATTGCTATGGTGCAATCCCCACTCACTGCAGCCTCAACCCCCTGGGCTCAAGCTATCCTCTCACCTCAGCCTCCTAAGTAGCTGAGACTACAGGCACATGCCACCCAGCTAATCTGTGTATTTTTTTGTAGAGACAAATACACAAATATTTCTTTAAACACAATGTGGGTCAAAGCTCTGACCTCTCGCCCCAGCCATCCCAACCATCTGCAGATTTAGAGCACATGAAAACATGCGGCCTTTACAGAGCCTCTGGCGATGTGGGCGAAATATTTGAACATGGGGATCTCCCCATGTTGCCCATGCTGGTCTCAAACTCCTGGCCTCAAGTGATCCACCTGCCTCGGCCTCCCAAAGTGCTGGGATTACAGGCGTGAGCCACTGCACGCAGCCGAGTATCAAAATGTTTTAATGTTTGCCTTTTAAATAACAGAAACGTATCCCAACTCATCTTTATTCAAATATCACATTTGATTCCCTGGGTAATGGAGATGTGCCTGCGAGAGCTAGTACTGCTGTGTTTAGAATGGAAAGGAGTGGCGGTAAAGCAACTGGAAAAGCAGGCCAAGGGACAGACCCCTCATGGCCTAAATTCACCATCGGCCCCAGACACAGGGTAGAGGACCAGGAGGAGAACATGTTTCAAGGGCAACAGGAGCTAGGTGACTCTAGAATTGTAGGAAGCACAGGGAAAAGATGCTGGAGTCCAGATGAATGAATGATGACCGCTTGAGTCTCACAGGTGATGTTTAATCTGCTCTGCGGCTAACTTACTCTATGGAAGAAAACCATGAATTGAGAGACATTTGTTTAGACTTAGCAGCAGGGAAACCCTGACCTTTTTAACCTTTAGGGAAAACTTCTGCTAATCAAAGGAATACGTCAGAGCTTCCTAAGCCATGTGCCACAAATGAGTTACACCAAAGCCGCGGCATTGACCCTCTCCGTTCTGTGTGTGGGCCAGCCTGGGTGGGCCGGTAGGCCTTTGGCTGCCTCAGTTTCCCTCAGAGTGTGATATAAATGCTATCTTTGCTGTGTGTGCTATGGCATGAAAATATTTGGAAAGTATTGCCTTCGGTTAAAATTCTCACAGAAATCCTTAGCATTGACATTACTAGCAGTGATTAGCTATAACCTGAATCAGGTCCAACAATTTGACTCAATTTGCTGTGCTTTATTGTAAATTCATTTTGTTTAAGTTCAAATTTTAAGAAAAAAAGTCTGCACTTTTTTCCTGCTGATTTCCACTCTGACTAAGCCACACTAGTGGTGACTTGGTGTTTGGAGACATCACAGGCATTGCACGCCAGCTCCCTGGGGAACCCTCTTCCCTCAGGACTGATCCCACTCTCCCCCGCCCTCAGGAAGAGCCTGGCATCCGCAGTGACCCTCGAGCAGCTGTCCCTGCAGCTGGGCCTGCCCCTCAAGCACGCTGAGCCTGTCCTTCACAGCCCCATGGTGCTGACCCAGGGCCCTGAGACCACCAGGAGGCACCTCTTCCTCTTCAGGGACTGGCTGGTCATTGCCAAGCAGAGGTGAGTTGGTGGCAGTCATCGCTTTGCTCTCTCCTAAAACTCAATCTCTTTCCAAGACCCTAGCAACACCCAAGGGCACTGCAAGGGGCCCCAGAGCTTGGGACCCAGCCTGGCCCACGTTACCAGCGCTTCCAGCCTGCACAGGCTTAGGTGGCTCCGTCCTTCTTCCCTGTTCTTTGACAAGCAAAGCACCCAGAGGCTGAATCCCTGGGACAACATCACACAGGTAGTGGGTAGAAAACTAGGACAAGAAAAGTAAAGAAAATCCATCATTTAAAAAAAAAAAGCCCTATGCAAACTTGACTTTTTGGTTTGACTAAAAGTGAATAATGTGTTTATAGCAATAAAGTTGAAATCAGAAATTGAGAAAGTCGATAACTGAGTTAACATGACCTGCACCATTTTTCTCTTTGGGAAGCTCTGCAATGAACACCTCCTCAATGTGTGCATTAGAGCAGCCTCTGGACTGGAGCCACAACTCCCAGGACGTGGTATATTTTTCACAAAGAAACCTACAGGCCCAAGGAACATGTGACAACCTTCTAAAAATCCCACACTAGTTTAAAAACAAAAACAAAAAAACGAGGGATAAACACAGACATTAGGCAAATAGAACATATCAGAGAAATAGTGGGGTCCCCTGGGGGAAGTGTTGATGTCCCTGGTCAGAGTCAATATAGGGAGGAAACCCAGAGCCATGGGCCATATTTGGCACTGCTGGTGCTGACTACGGAGGGGCCTGGGGCCCCGGGGTGATGCCTGTAACATTATTTCTGTTTTGTAGGAAGGAAGAGCATTTACATATTTTTATACTTCCATTTAATTTCCCTTGAAAAGCTCTATTTTAAGCTTTGGGGGAAATGTGCCACATTTTAAAGAGCTTCCCACACCTACCCACCGTGATTATTTTTTTAGGTGCTTGGAGATTTCAAAGAATTCAAAACCCATCTGGCATCCTCCCCCCGTATCCCAGCCCGGGATATGTTGTTTTCAGAGACCTGAGAAAGCCCCGGGGAGGCACAAACAGCAGCTGGGGAAATCCTGCCACGGCTCAGAACGCACACTTGTCACAGTCTCCGCGAGCGCCCCAGCTGAGCTCCTGAGCCAGGCTCTGGGCCGCGGGCTGGTACCCAGGGCACTCACAGGTGTGTGGCCTGAACCACCCCTCACTTTGCATTCAGGAACTCCCCGAGTCGCCCCTCTAAACAGACTCAGCATGCTCACCAGCAGTCAGGAGGCAGGGAGTCAGGGGTCACCAGCAGCCAGGAGGACAGGGTCAGTGCGGGGTGTTGGGGAAACGCACAGAGTTGACATGGAAGGTTAGCGTCAAACACACCACCAAGCCCTGGCCACGGCGGCCTGGCTAGAGGCACACACGGGCCACCGCGCCCGGAGATCTCGCTAGGCCTGGCCACGTGGCTTCCCACTGGGCACAGGGCACTAGCTGCGGCAGGGAACTGAACACTCACTGGGGTGCTTAGGTAGGATGACGATCCCAGGAACCCTTCCCCGCCCCTTCCCTAAGAATGAGGGTGGCGGCACTCTCGAAGGAGAGGGATTAGATGTGCACACACCCTATGAACCGCCTTCGCCCTCAAAGAGACCAGCTCCTTCTTGCCTCTGCGCCTCCGCCCGCGCTGCTCCGACCACCTGGGAGGCTGTGCCCCCTCCTCCTGAGCCAGCTCTTCTCCATGCTGGGGGACATGGCCCCGGGAAACTGGATCAAAGCGCAGACTCTGGAACCCAGGCGGGGGTTGAATCTCCTCTCCGCCATTTACCAACTGTGACTAAGCTCTATGTGTCTCTGTCTTCTCGTCTGTAGAGATAAAAATAGCATCTTCCTCACAGGATGGATTGGGGTGGGGATTGAAAGAATAACTACAAGATCAGAGTTTAGAACCGGCTGGCACGTGTGTGCAGTGTTTCCTATGAAGTAGAGTCGCTTTCTGATGTGCTTTCCAAGAAGGGTTGAGGCCCCACCCACTCACAAAAAGAGAAGACCAGAGAAGAGATCTCAGTCTCCTCCACCAGCCTGAAATGAATCTCAATCACTTATTAGCTAATGGCTCCCGGCACACAGAGGGTCTGCTCCACTCAAGCCGTTTTGCCATACTCTGGAGTCAGAGTCCAAGCTCTCAGAGAGTTTATAATGTAGCAGAAAGGTTTAAAATCCACCAGCCTCGACTGGGCGCGGTGGCTCACGCCTGTAATCCCAGCACTTTGGGAGGTAGAGGCGGGCAGATCACCTGAGGTCAGGAGTTCAAGACCAACCTGGCCAACATGGTGAAACCCCATCTCTACTAAAAATACAAAAATTAGCCAGGCGTGTGTGGCGGGCGCCTGTAATCCCAGCTACTCGGGAGGCTGAGGCCGGAGAATGGCTTGAACCCAGGAGGTGGAGGTTCAGCGAGCTGAGATCCAGCCATAGCACTCCAACCTGGGTGACAGAGCGAGACTCCGTCTCAAAAAAAAAATTAATTAATTAATTAATTTTTAAAAAATCTGCCAGCCTTCATGGACAAAGGGAAGGAATCATGATTGACTCTTTACTTTGTGTGGTGTTTTGGTTTTGTTGAATTCAAAGAGTGAGACTCATGTGTTTGGGAAATTTATTTAATTTTTCTATTTTTAGTATAATCTTCAGCTGTAAGTTTTCAAGATATACTTGGTACCATATTCCAATATGTGTAATGAGGAACTATCTTAAAGAAGTTTTACTGTTTTTTATAGGACTAGATACCTGATTTTTAAAGCCTTGTGAATTATGACCACATGGTTGTTTTCAGATCTGTGCAATTAGGTTCAGCGAATAAACGTCCAGGAGAGCCTTGGCAATCCATTGACAAGAACAGCACAGCCAGTGACTCCACAGGCGAAGGGAAGTGTTTTCAGTTGTGTTTTACTATAAACAGTATGACATACAAAGGCATATTTCATAACTTGCCCAAGTGGTTTTGAAATATTCTTTTCCATTGAGGCAATAGCCATTCACAATTGATAATAACCACCCCCAGGACCGGCTACACAATCTGTAAGACAGTGCCCTTTTTTCAAAGAGTAATAGGAATTTTAAGACAGCAGGAGCAGAACGATAAACCAACCACAGGGGTCTCCAAGCCTGGGGACCCAGGGGCTGCACAGGTCACCTGTTCATGGAGCTGGCCCTGGCTGCCCCCTGTGATGGATTTAATATATTTTAAATCATCAGACATATTTAAGGAACATCCAAGCTTAAGACCTTTACTGGATATATTTACCAGCATTTACCTATATTTAATAACATTCACTTTGCTCCACAAAAGATCTTATTTCTTTGCCAAAAATCATGTTTTGGAATAAAATAGACACAACTTCAACATTATTTTTTAAAATAAAAGTTGCAAAAGTACATCTCCCACATCTTCTGTGAATTTAAATAAATCGCTTTATTTGTTTTAGGCTGAAAGTGTAAATTCAGTGTGAATTTCATGCCATGCTCTCATTCACTTGTGGACATAACCTGCCTTTCTCATTTCACAAAGGCTGAACTATCCAACAACCTGATTTTTGAAGAATTTAGGGTAACACTGGCCTCACAGAATAAGTCTGGAAGTAGTCCCTCCTCCTCTGTTTTTCAGAATAGTTTGAGTGGGAATGGTATTAGTTCTTCTTTAAATGTTTGATAGAATTCAGCAGTGAAGCCATCAGGTCCTGGCCTTTTCTTTACTGGCCGACTTTTGATTATGGCCTCCATCTCATTACTTGTTATTGGTCTATTCAGGTTTTGGATTTCTTCCTGGTTCAATCTTGGTAGGTTGTGTGTATCTAGGAATTTGTCCATTTCTTCTAGATTTTCCAATTTATCAACGTATAGTTGCTCATAGTGGCCACTAATGATCCTTTCAATTTCTGCAGTATCAGTTGTAAAGTCTCCTTTTTCATTTCTGATTTTATTTATTTGGATCTTCTCTTTTTTTCTTAGTCTGGCTAAAGTTTGTCAGTTTTGTTTAACTTTTCAAAAAAACCATCTTTTGACTTCATTGATCTTTTGTATTTTTTTCATTTCAATTTCATTTATTTCTGCTGTCAGCTTTATTATTTCTCTTCTTCTACTAATTTTGGGTTCATTTGCTCTTGCTTTTCTAGTTCTTTAAGATGTATCGTTATATTACTTATCTGAGGTTTTTCCTCCTTTTTGATGTAGGCACTTAGTAGCTATAATCTTCCCTGTTAGTACTGCTTTTGCTGTATTCCATAGGTTGTGGTATACTGTCAGGCACTACTCTAGGTACTTGGGATAAAATAGAAAAGGAGTCCTGCTCTTGTGGAACTTATGTGCCAGCCAGGGGAGGTAGAAAATAGATGAGAAACATAGTAAATGATCTAGTCTGTTAGAAGGTGGTACGTGCCATGGGGGGAAAGGAGAGTTGGGCAAGGGGAATTGGCAATTCACAGCAAGAGAGTGGTTAGTTGCAATATTGGAGTGGCCTATGTGGGCCTCATTGCAAAAGGGAGTTTTGAGCAAAAATATGGAGTTGGCCAAGCAGATATCCAGAGGAAGAGCATTCATGGCAGAGGAAACAGCAAGAGCAGAAGGCCAGAGAGTGGAGCGTGCCAAGCACATCGGGGAATTGCAGGCGGGCCTGCAGGGATGGAGGGGAGGGAGCAAGAGCAGGAGGACAGAGGAGGAGGTCAGCAGGTGGCGGGCGGCAGATCAAACAGAGTTTCATGGGCCTTGGCAGGGCTTTGGCTTGTTTTCCTTGCTGAGTGAGATGGAAAGCCATTGAAAAAAATGACAGCAGAGTAATAATATGATCTCACTTCTGTGTTAAAAGATTCGGTCTGGCTGCTTTGCTGAAAATAGTGTAGGGCTCAGGGAGATGCCAGGGGTAGGAAGAAGGGGAAGTGTTAGAAGATGACTGCAGAAAATCCAGGCATGGGATGATGGTGGCTCAGACTGGAGAAACTGCAGCTGAGGCGGTAAGACGGGACTGGATTCTTAGTTCATTTTGAAGGTGAGACCAACCTGCCAAATTGGAGGTGGGGCTTTCTCCCCTTTTGGGAAAAATCAAAGAGGACTGAAATTCCCTGGCCTGGAATTCACATCTTGATGTATTTAGTAGCCAACAGCAGCTCTGTGAAGTTGGTATCACTTCTTCATCGCACCTTGCATGCTTGCCCAAGTCACAGAGTTATAATATAATAAAGGATGAAGTTGCCGTCCACTGAGATGAGAAAGGGTGGAGTGAAGCAGGTTCTGGACCTGTGAGATCAGCAGTTCAGTGTTGGACGTGTGGGCTCGAGATGCTGTTAGACGTCTGAAGGAAAATGGTGGGAGGCAGTTGGATATTGGAGTCGCCCATATTAGTTTTCTATTGCTGGACAAGTTTGCTCCAAGATTTGGCAGCTTACAACAAGGATCATTTATTAACCCACAGTTTCTGTGGGTTGGGTTTCTGAGAGCCATGTAGCTGAGTGGTTCTGGTTTAGAACTGCAGTCAAGGTGTTAGACAGGGCTGCAGTCCTGTCTAACAGGTAGTCTAGTAGGTAATGAGGATGACCTCATTACCTCATTTGAAGGCGAGTTTGAGGAAGGATCAGCTTCCAAGTTCACTCACACAGGTGGTGCAGGTCTTGGAAGATCCACTTCCACGCCCACTTGTGTGGCTGTTAATAAACCTCAGATCCTCATCCTGTGAACCTCACATGGCCCCTGGCTTACCCCAGAATGAGTGAGCCGAAAGAGAATGAGAGAGTACCCAACATAAAAACCACAGTAGTTTTATAACCTCATCTTGGAAATGACATCCCATCATTTCTGCCATCATCTACTCACTAGAACCAGTCAACAAGGGTTGGTGGACATATTTTTTAAAACCATCTCATTGACATACAGATTATATTTAAAGCCCTGAGTGTAATGAGAAATGAAAAGGGGACCAAGGACCATATCTTGGATACTTCAACATTAAAAGGTTGGGGAGAAGAGGAGAAATCATCAAAGGAGGCCAAGAATGAGAGGCTTGCGAGTGGGAGGACAATCATGAGACTGTGGCATTTTGGAACCAAGTAAAGAAAGTGCATCAAGGAGGAGAGAGTGAGCAACTTCAGCAAATGCTGCTGTGGGATAGGGTTAGTCGTTTATACTGGCTTGCCCAGGAAGGTCCCAGCTCACATCTGCTTTCGTCCTGGTGTTATTACTTATCAGGCTCCCTTTTGCTCTCAAAAGGAGGCAGATTTGACAAAGAATCTTATGGACATCCCATACCCAAGTCAAGTAATGTGAGCACTGAGATTTGGGGATTGGATCAGGCATCATAGAGGTCACTGGTGATAATGAGCGATCAGTGTCTAATTGTGTCTTACTGTGGGACATACATCAGCATACCTTTGCATTCAAAATACTTTTCCTACTAAAAGCTATTACAGAGCTAAGTAAACTATTAGCTAATATTAGTGTAAGTATAACATAAAATATCAAATTAAAGTAAGATTTTAAAAAACATAAGCTCAATTCATTCACTAAATTTTAACTCTTCTCAATCACTATTTAATGTAATTACAGATGATGTGAAAGTTTGAGTACATCTAAGTTCATTTTATGGAGCTGAGTGTGGTGGCTCACACCTGCAATCCCAGCACTTTGGGAGGCCAAGGCGGGCAGATCACTTGAGGTCAGGAGTTCGAGACCAGCCTGGCCAACATGGTGAAACCCCATCTCTACTAAAAAATATGAAAATTAGCCAGGCATGGTGGCGCACGCCTGTAATCCCAGCTATTTAGGAGGCTGAGGATTGAACCCGGGAGGCGGAGGTTGCAGTGAGCTGAGATCATGCCACTGCACTCCAGCCAGGACAACAGAGCAATATTTTGTCTCAAAAATAAATAAATAAACAAATTCATTTTATGAGTTACTTATTTTGAAAAAAATTGTCACAATTGCAATGCTATAAAATTGTTTTCAAAACAAAATAATTTGGCAAACAGGCAAAAAGAACATCTTTAATAATGATCCAAGTTGATAAAATAGAAACAGACATAACAAGATTCATATTTATTCCTAATTATTCACGAAACGTTTTACATGTGATAAAATGTATAAAAGCTCTCATCATGGCTTGTTCCCTGGTGTCATAAACATCCAAATGTCCATGGCTGTCCTGAATCTTGTCTTCCCCGCTGGACACTTATGAAGGATGACCTCATTACCACCCATCTCCACTTAGCCTATGCCAAATTTTAATACCAAGGTCGATCATTCCTATGGCCCAGGCACCAGGTTTATCGCTTCATACGTCTTGATGTATTTAGTAGCCAACAGCAGCTCTGTGAAGTTGGTATCTCTTCTTCATCGCACCTTGCATGCCTGCCCAAGTCCCAGAGTTATAATACTCCCTCACGGTATGTTGCCATTTGTCAAGTGACAACTTACTTAGATGAATTATTAAACTTTGTTTAAAAAATTCTGGCTTATTTTTGACATCTTAAGGAAGTAGAAAGCTGATGTTAACTTTCATTTTACATATTATTTAACAATTTTTTTCTTGAGATTGTTGGCTTCATGGAAAAAGTCACCTCCATCCACAGGAACAGTAGATTACATTTAAAATATTTTTTTCTTATTTGTACAAATGTATGGGGTACATGTGAAATTTTGTTACATGTATATAATGTATACTGATCAAGTCAGGGTATTTAGGATATCCATCACCCACGTACAATACATTTTTGTTTAACCATACTCATCCTGCTCTGCTACCAAACAATGAATTTAGGCCCAGTACGGTGGCTCAAGCCTATAATCCCAACACTTTGGGAGGCCAGGGTGGGAGGATTGCTTGTGCCCAGGAGTTTAAGGCCAGCCTAGACAACTCAGCGAGATCCCATCTCTAATTTTTTAAATTATTTTTTACAAATTGAATTTATTTCTATCTAATTGTATGTGTGTTCTTTAACCCAGTTCTCTTCATCCTCACCCCTTTACCCCAATCACCCTTCCCATCTCTGTTCTCTCTTTCCACTTTCTACCACCATGTGATCAGATATTTCAGCTCTCACATCTAAGTGGGAGAACATGAGATATTTGTCTTTTTATGCTTGGCTTATTTCACTTACAATAATGACCTCCAGTTCCAGGTACATTGCTGCAAATGACTTGATTTCATTCTTCTTTCTGGCTGAATAGGGTTCCACTGTGTATATATACCACATTTTCTTTATCCATTCTTCTGTTGATGGGCACTTAGTTGATTCCATATCATTGTCTTGTAAATAGTGCTGTAATAGACATAGGAGTGCAAGGATCCCTTTATATATTGATTTCTTTTCCTTTGGCTAAAAACCCAGTTGTGGAATTGCTGGATAGAATAGTAATTCTATTTTCAGTTTTTTGAGAGATGTCCATACTGTTTTCCATAATGGCTGTACTAGTTTACATTCCCACCAACAGTGTATAAGAGTTTCCTTTTCTTCACATCCTTGCCAACATCTCTTATTTTTTCTTTTTAATAACAGCCATTCTAACTGGGGTAAAATGATATCTCATTGTTTTGATTTGCATTTCTCTGATGATTAGCAATGTTGAGCATTTTTTTCATATATCTTTGGCCATTTGTATACCTTCTTGTGAGAAATATCTATACATGTCCTTTGCCCCCTTTTTAATGGGATTATTTGATTCTTCCTGTCGAGTTGTTTGAATTCCTTGTATATTCTGGATATTAGTCCCCTGTCAGAAGAATAGTTTGCAAATATTTTTTTCTCATTCAACTGATTGTCTCTTTACTCTGTTGATTATTTCTTTTGCTGTGTAGAAGCTTTTTAGTTTAGTTAAGTCCCATTTGTCTATTTTTGTTTTTGTTGCCTGTGCTTTTGAGGTCTTAGTCATAAATTATTCTCCTAGACCAATCTCCAGGAGAGTTTTCCCTAAGTTTTCTTCTAGTATTTTTACAGTTTGGGGTCTTCGGTTGGTTTTAATCCATTTTGAGTTGATTTTTTTTATATGGTGAGAGATACAGGTCCAGTTTCATTCTTCGGCATGTGGATATCCAATTCTCCCAGCACCATTTATTGAAAAGGGTGTCCTTTCCCCAATGAAAGTTCTTGTCAGTTTTGTTGAAGATAACTTAGTTGTAAACATGTGGCTTTATTTCTGGGTTCTCTAGAACCAGAGATTATCTTCACTGCTCAGGTGAATACTGGCAAGGGAAAAAAATGGTAGAAAGAAAATTATTTCTAGAATCTTTCTAAGTGTTTCTGATATGAGTAGTGTTCTCACTTTAACTATCTGAAACTATGAAATGATTGTATCCATAAAGAATCTCATCCACAGGCATCTGCCCTCTGACTCTGGGGCTGCATGTGAGGAGAGGCTGGTCCCAGGAATCAGGCCAGGTGCATTGCCACCATAGCTGCGTTGTGTGCCTTTCACAAAAGAGTCCCAAGGTGGAAAAATCAGCCCACTGGGAGGAAACAGTTAGGGAGGCAGGACATGACACAGCGGTTTGGAAACTGAGCTCAAAAACCCAACACTCACTAAGCTGTGACTTTGTGATAAGCTCTGAAGTACTTTAGACACAGTGCCTAATTACCTTTATAATACCTCTATGCAGCAGGTACTGTTTTAATTGGCTAGTGTCACAAAAATGACACAGAATAAACCATCTCAAAACACAGTAGCTCATGAAAACAAGCATTTGCATCTTATTCAGGCATCTCCAGGTTGTCTAGCATTCCGCTGGACCCGGTGGGCTTGGGTGCCCAACACAGGTTAAGTTCAGGCATTCTCTAGTGTCTGTTATTCTTCTAGGACCAGCAGGATGGATACTCAGGGCATGTGTTTCTAATGACAACTGAAATGCAAGAGGGCAAACCTAGCCTCACAAGGATGTGTCAGGTCTTTGCTTGCCTCGTGTGCACAAACATCGTATCGCCCAGACTTGTCAAATGGCGAGTTAAATACAGCCATTATTTAGTTAAATAGCAGTTAAATACACACTGCTATTCTTACAATCATCTTACAGATGAGGGTACCAGCAGAGGTTAGAAGACTTGCCCAATGTCCCACTAAGGTTAAGTGGAGAAACTGACACTTAACCCCAAGTAGACCGGCCCCAGAATGCAAGCTCTTATGCAGGACAGCTCGACAGGGACCAGGCGAAAACTCATGAAGGCCAGGAAAGGCACATTAGGGTCAAACATGGATGGAAAAAAGACCAGAGGAAGGAGCATGCTAGGATCAGCCTAAGAGGAATCTGGCCCATGCTGGACCTCACACTCTAGGCCAAGGGTGGAATCATAAATTTTAAAGTTTATACCCACAAACAGAGAAGTTATTCTCAAAATCTTTTCAAAATTCTCATTAATTACCCAAAAGTTTGCTTTTTTTCTTTTTTTGTGTTTTCAAATTGTCTACATTGAACAAAAGTATAACTTTTATAAATAAAAAATGGTTTGAGATTTTGTTCATGGAATTTTTCTGTTATATATTGAATATGTTTAAATATATTTTGAAGATTTTTTAAATTCATGGAATTCCAAAGATTCTTCCCTCTACAAATATTGAGTCTAAGTCTTCAGAATTTTTATTTGAACCTAAAAATCTACTCCATTGACATGTGTAAGACAGGAATAAATTTCAATTACTTCAAAAACTGTTTTCAAAGTATTGTAACAAATTTTGTATGCAGTGGATGAAAAAGTAATAAAATCAATTTAAATTGACTTAAAATTTTTAGTATCTATTCATTAAGTAACCATTTATAACAAAAATAAGTACAATTAAGATTGATGAGAAGAGTTTTTTACATTTAAAATTTTTAACATTTTAATGTTCTATTATAGCAAAATGATAACAACGTGGGCAATATTTCTTAAAATTGCAGTGAAATATAAGCATTTGTCTTCTTCTATTGATCAGTTGCTTATTCCAAATCAAATCCACAATAGGCTAACGGATGATGAAACAGTAATTCAATGTGAAAAACCATCCAAGGAAAGATGGCAATCTTGTTTTAACCCAAAAATAGATTTTAAAAAAAAAGAACAATTACTTAATAAGTAGATGATGCAACATCAGTACTTTCATAGAAACAAAAAAGATTCTCATGTACTGATGTCATTGCACAAGTGATACATACCACCCTGGTTTGTAAAACCACTACCTTAATTTTTTTTCAGCTACAGATACTTGCATGCACAAACTTTATCTTGGTTTTCAAAACCTTTAAATACAATTATGGCAAAACTTTTAATCATGTTATTAAAGTAAATTTACTATTTAAAATGGAATCTCTTGTTTTGCTATTAAATATAAAACTTCAAAACTAGCCCAGGTTATAAAATATTATACACTTTATATGCAATTATTACAAAACAAGAGAGATTAATACATAAATCAATCACTAAATTTAAAAATAGAGAAAAGCAGGCTGGGCACGGTGGCTCACACCTGTAATCTCAGCATTTTGGGAGGCTGAGGGGAGTGGATCACGAGGTCAGGAGATCGAGACCATCCTGGCTAGCACGGCGAAACCCTGTCTCTACTAAATAAATAAATAAATAAATAAATAAATAAATAAATAAGCCGGGCGTGGTGGTGGGAGTCTGTAGTCCCAGCTACTTGGGAGGCTGAGGCAGGAGAATGGCATGAACCCCGGAGGTGGAGCTTGCAGTGAGCCAAGATTGCACCATTGCACTGCAGCCTGGGTGACAGAGCAAGACTCCGTCTCAAAAAAAAAAAAAATAGAGAAAAGCAGAATTAAAATATATCCAAACAAGTAGAAACTTTTTTAATTTAAAAATTGGAAATAACAAAAGTTTTAAAATGTAAAAATAAGATCTAGTTTGCAATTGCAAAAAATTCAAAATAGGAATAAATCTAAGAAAAATCTTCAAGACCTTTATAGAGAAAGTTTTAATTAAATATGAAATGAGAGATGACTTGAATAGTGAAGAGCTATACCACATTCATGGATGGCAAGACTCAATTTCTTCTCAAATTACTGTATAACTGCTATATCAATCAAAATCATCAAGGGATTTTTTTAAAACATAATTGATTATTAAATTCTTAAATGTGCCAAAAAGCCAAGGCAACTGTGTGAAGATCAACAAAGAAAGAAGACAGATGCTATCATTTACCAAAATAAAATATAAAGCCATAGACATTAAAACAGATACCAGTGGGTAGTGGCTTTATGAATTATTGCTTTTTTGTTATTTGTATTGTTTTCTGTATTTTTAAAAATTAGCCTCCTCCTAAAAAGAAAACATATAAAACAAATATGTACCTAGCTACAGCAAGAGCAAGGAGAAGGAATTTTAAAAATCTCAAGTGTTCTTTAAATACCATTTAGGAAAATCAGCATGAAGACAGAGCTAACAACTAGCCCACATTATATGGTTCAGCAAGCTGAATATGTAGTCCTCTATCTAGTCACTAAGTTACCTAGCAATGTTTTGCATCATCACGGATTATATTTTCAGATATAGAAATGTATGTACATGCATACATTTTCTATCAGTCTATCAGCAGATTCCAATTTTATTATTTTCAGAGAAATAAAATGTTATATTCATGTTAGTTGTAATAAATCTAAACGAAATTTCCTTTACTAAAAATCCTATTTTTTTCCATTTTATTTATTTTATTTTACTCTTTTGAGATGAAATTTTGCTCTTGTTGCCCAGGCTGGAGTGCAATGGCGCATTCTCAGCTCACTGCAATCTCCACCTCCCAGGTTCAAGCAATTCTCCTGCCTCAGCCTCCCAAGTAGCTGGGATTACAGGTATGCACCACCACGCCCAGCTAATTCTTTGTATTTAGTAGAGATGGGGTTTT
Source organism: Homo sapiens (assembly GCF_000001405.40). NCBI lineage: Eukaryota > Metazoa > Chordata > Mammalia > Primates > Hominidae > Homo > Homo sapiens. The sequence continues at coordinate 159,082,908 of NC_000006.12, read as the reverse complement.
ATCATGTCGGTCTGGCTGATCTCAAACTCCTGACCTCAGGTGATCCACCCGCCTCAGCCTCCCAAAGTGCTGGGATTACAGGCATGAGCCACTGCGCCTGGCCCAAGTTTATTGTTTAATATTCGTTATAATCTCAAAAATCCTTTTTTTAATAAAGCATATGACTAGTTAAGTAGAAGTAAGATGTTTTGTTTTCTATCATTTTCCACTGTGATTCTGTGGTATGTCAACACCTGCAGAAAGGCCATGTATTTCCAGCCCTGCTCTGAGAGACGAGCTCATTATTAAAAGTAATTTGCATAATGACTTCTTTTCCTCTGGATAGATATCCAGTAGTGAGATTGCTGGACCAAATGGTAGTTCTACTTTTAGTTCTTTAAGGAATCTCTGCACTGTTTTCTATAGTGGTTGTACTCGTTTATATTCCAACCAGCAGTGTAAAAGTGTTCCCTTTTCACCGCATCCCCACCAATATCAATTATTTTCTGATTTTTTGATTATGGCCATTCTTGCAGGAGTAAGGTGGTATAGCATTGTGGTTTTGATTTGCATTTCCCTGATCATTAGTGATGTTGAACATTTTGTCATGTGTTTGTTGGCCATTTGCATATCTTATTTTGGAATTGTCTATTCGTGTCCTTAGCCCATTTTTTGATGGGATTGTTTGGGTTTTTTTCTGGCTAATTTGTTTGAGTTCCTTGTAGATTCTGGATATTAGTCCTTTGTCTGATGTATAGACTGTGAAGAGTTTTCTCCCACTCTGCCGGTTGTCTGTTTACTCTGCTAATTGTTTCTTTTGCTCTGCAGAAACTTTTTAGTTTAATTAAGTCTCACCTATTTATCATTGTTTCCATTCAACCTGGAGGGAATTGGAGACCATTATTCTAAGTGAAGTAACTCAGGAATGGAAAACCAAACATTTTATGCTCTCACTCATAAGTGGGAGCTAAGCTATGAGGATGCAAAGGCATAAGATGATACAATGGACTTTGGGGACTTGGGGGAAAGTGTGGAGGGGGATGGGGGATGAGGGATAAAAGAGTACAAATTGGGTACAGTGTATACTGCTCTGGTGATGGGTGCACCAAAATCTCACAAATCACTGCTAAAGAACTTATTCTTGTAACCCAACACCTCCTGTTCCCCAAATACATATGGAAATTTTTTTAAAAAGCAATTTGCTTTATCTGCTTTTTCTTGGGAGATGAAACTTCTGACCAAGGGGTACTGGATTATCTCACTTAGCTGAGGCTGTTAGGTTTAGTGATGAGCCAGGCAGAGTTTGGGAATGAGTGTGAGCTTTGGACACAGATGGTTTCAAATGCCTGTCTTTTTATTTTGGAGCTCTGTTAAGCTTGGCCACGCATTTCCTCACCTATGAAATACGGAAAATAGAGCTCACTTATAGAGCATTACTAAAGATTTGATGTTAATGGGTCAAGTCCTTGATGCTCAACAAATATTAGTTATTTTCCTTAAATGTTGATTTAAAAACTGAAATGGACTGAATTTTCAGGATAGTGTGAGGATGTAATTACTTGTAATTACTTCTAAATTCCTATAAGTTCTTTTTCTGGGTTTTTTTTGTGTTTTTTTTTTTTTTTTTTTTTAATGGACTCTCGCTGTGTCACCCAGGCTGGAGTGCAGTGGCGCAATCTCAGCTCACTGCAAGTTCCACCTACCGGGTTCATGCCATTCACCTGCCTCAGCCACCCCAGCAGCTGGGACTACAGGCGCCTGCCACCAAGCCCGGCTACATTTTTTGTATTTTTAGTAGAGAGGGGTTTCACCATGTTAGCCAGGATGGTCTCAATCTCCTAACCTCGTGATCCACCCGCACCCGCCTTGGCCTCCCAAAGTGCTGGGATTACAGGCGTGAGCCACCATGCCTGGCCTTGTTTTTTGGTTTGTTTTTTTTTTTGTTTTTTTTGTTTTTTTTTTTTTGTTTTTTTTTTTTAAGGATGTATATTCCCTTGTTCCAGATCTATTTTTTACAGTAACTCCTAATTGTAAGGATGATGGAAAGTTGGTTGTAAGGCAGATTAGCATGACTGCCTCACCACAGAGTGTGGGACCTAAGTGAGGGACTGGGGAAGACCAGACAGGAAGGAGGGCTCTGCTAAAAATAAAACAAAAAGACCCTCGTGGCTCTTCCTTCCTTTTGATGGGTATTGTTAGATTAACCCATAGAGCACAGACAGAAAGAAAGAAAGGGACTGGTCATTTCTCTAAACTCAGGGTGTGAGCTCCACAGTCCTTTCTGCAGAAGGGGAAGCCCCTGAGACCGTTCCTCTGCCAGGCCACCTTGCCCATTAGCAGATGTGCACAGTTACGTTACCCCAGTGTCAACAAAGCACAACTTCCAGTCTGTGCACAAAGTGGGACAGCCCCAGAGCTTGGTAGGAGGTGGAGGATGTGAGGAAGGTTATGGGCTATTTCAAGTTTCTTACAGACTAAGTGTCTCTTACATTGTGCTGTCAACACAAGAGCTAGAATGGACCCCTGCCTGGAGTTCACTTCTGACTGGAAGACCTGTGCTGTCATAGACCTTGGCCAACCTCTGTTTCATTAATCACAATGAAGGCTGCCCCACACCTCTGTCTCTAGAGAGAAGCTAAGTAAGGCAATTCTGCTGGGCCATGAGACTTCCTGTGTGCCTGCTGCTATGCCCAAATGCCACTACACGTGACTTTGGTCTCTTTGAATTAAATGATATAATAAAGAGCTAACATTTTATTCTGTGTTGCCTGTGGACCAGGTAGTAGACTAACATTTTCATATTATTTCTATAATTTGGTCCTCAGACCAACCTATCCTTGGTGTTTTTATTCTTAGCTTGAGGATCGAAACGCTGATGCGTGGGTTATCCCCTTGCCTCAAGTCACAGCATGAGTATGCAGTGAAGTTGGGATTTGAACCTGGATTTTCTTGTGCTTTAGACAGCTATGTGGGGGCCTCATAGTTCTGAGCCCAGATGTTTCAGTAGTTTATTTGGTCTAGGCTTTCTTGATATAGTGAAAAAAAATGCAAAACAAAATTTAAGGAAAAGTTATAAAATAAAACAATTGGTCCCAGGAGGCTATAACCCAATTTCACCAAGATATTCTAATTAAAGGAAGCATTTAAATTTGTCTCCTTCTTCCTCATTTTATAGCCCATATGTTAAATTATCCCAACTCTTGATGGTTCAAATATCCCAGAAGATATTTTCTCCATGAATTGTTCAGGGTTAAGATTTCCTCATTGCAGATCTCTGTTTATTTTTACTATATGCCAAATGTTTTTATTTTCTGCCAAACTGTTCTTCTCTGGAATGCTGTACTCTGTAACCAGGGAGAGACCCAGTGCAAGGCTGGGAGCGGCCGGGAGACAAAAAAAGGACAGCAGCTTTACATAATGTACCCCCTGTCATTTCGAACCTCCTCCACCACAGTTTCCACTGGGACTGGTTCTGCTTGCAGATTCATGCTAGAGACATGAATAATAGAAGTGAACAAATGAAACAGAGGAACTTAAAAACCCATCCACCTTTACTTAGGTAATAGCCACCCTGAAATCCTTTTTTTTTTTTTTTTTTGCTAAAGTGCAGTGGCGCAACCTTGGCTCACCACAACCTCTGCCTCCCAGGTTCAAGCGATTCTCCTGCCTCAGTCTCCTGAGTAGCTGAGAGCACAGGCACCCACCACCACACCCAGCTAATTTTTGTATTTTTAGTAGAGACAGGTTTTCACCATGTTGGCCAGGCTGGTCTCAAACTCCTTACCTCAAGTAAGCCATCTGCCTTGGCCTCCCAAAGTGCTGGAATTACAGGCATGAGCCACCACGCCCAGCCTGAAACTCCATTTTCAAGTATGCACCCACTAAGTCAAGACAGAGAGTCCCCTTTAGCATGAGATTGAGACAATGGGGCGAGGCAGAAGCCAAAATGTTCTCCTTTTCTTCCTTTGCCCAAATCCATTCAATGACCAAGACCATGTCATTCTAACCCATCCCCTCTGCCTCATCCCAGGCCCTCATCATCTCGCATCTGACTATTGCACCTGTCTCCTTACCTGCTCAGCCCATTTCATCCTTCATGCCACCACAGAGGAGTAGTGGCTTCAAGACTGATCTCATCTAGCACCCGCCTCACCTCACTCCCATCTCTTCCAATCCTCAATGGCAAACATCATCTCAATAAAACATCAGTAACATCACCTGCCTTCTTATGAAGCCCCTCCAGCTAGTGTGGCACTAAGAAGGTTTACTCTCTCCTACTTCCTCCCTCTCCTCCCATTGTGCAGGGAAATACTTGGAGTTTCCCAAACTCCCCACGCCTCCCATTCCTGGGTCACCTTGCTGAGTCTTCTCCAAGTCTCTTGCCCCTTTTTCTCCTCTTTGGGATAGCCCACTTCAGCGTCAATGTCACCATGTCATGGAAGTCCACTCCAGCTGCCGCAGGTAGAGTGAGTTGTTCCTTCCTCAAGGTTCCCACTGCCTTTGGCATTGCCTCCCTCTAATTGAGCCAGCCCAGGTGACTTCCAGATGGGGCAAACCTTATCCACCTTGGGCCCTCACCAGCAGGGTCTCAACAGAAGTTCGCTGGATAAATGAAGAAATGCTGAACCAATAGTAGTAGTTCATTTCTATCCAGTAGCTATTTTAGCCAGAAATTTCCAAAATGGCCATACAGGGCAGCAGCATGATAGAGAGCAGGCTGGTGATTTAGCTGAACTTGAATTTGGTCCCAGCTGTCTATGGGGGTCTTAAGCTTCTAGATGCCAGTTTCGTCCTCTGTAAAATGTGGATAGTAATAGTACCACAGCATAGTGGTGACAGGGAGATTAGAAAAGACAGTTATTAGGCTGAGTGTGGTGGTTCACACCTGTAATCCCAGCACTTTGGGAGGTCAAGGCAGGAGGATTGCTTGAGCCCAGGAGTTTAAAACCAGCCTGGTCAACACAGCAAAACCCTGTATCTACAAAAGAAAAAAAAATAGCGAGGCCTGGTAGCTCAGTCCTCTAGTCCCAGCTACTCAGGAGGCTGAGGCAGGAGGATTGCTTGAGCCCAGGAGTTCGATGCTGCAGTGAGCCATGATTGCACTACTGCACTCCAGCCTGGGAGACAGAGTGAGAACTCGTCTCAAAAAACAAAACAAAACAAAATAGTTATTGAAAAATCTTTATCACAGTACCAGGCACAATGAAAGTGCCCCAGAATGCCGACTTTTTTAAAAAGCGCCTGGATCCACTGATCTCTAGTTTTATTATTCTGTTGTTCCTGAATCTCTCACAAATCAAAATCCAATTTCATAAGTGCTTTCTCTCTTCAATGATAAGGAGCCAGATGTCTGCTTCCTCACTAGAAGGGTACTGGGAGAGAGACTTCACTTGATCTGGTCCAGAGGGGCTGGCAGATGGCAACCACAGGGCGGTGGGCCTGGAATCTGAAGACCTGGAAAACCCATGGTTTACCACGGAAACCATGACAGGACCTCACGTTAACACCCAGCCTTCCCTTTCCTCCCCGAGCCTCCCAAGCCCCCTCGCAGTGAAAGGACAGAGGCCACCGTGCTGGCAGCTGGAAGCCCACTCTGTGGTTTGACCTTTATTGTCCTCCCACATACTGCAGAGTGGGCTGCGCTGCTATTACTCACGGGCCGCCTCGCTCGCAGCACTGAGGGCTGGGGAAATCACAGGCACTGGCAGCTTCTGACTGGTTCCAGAAGAGCCTCGATTAACATCAACTGCAGACCAAAGCGTTTCCCATCCACACCTTCCCTTCTCTTCTGAACACAGGGATCTCTCCTGCAATTGCTTTTGAGAAGAAAAGGACTTCATGGCAGCCTCTCTTTTCTCCCCAACAACCACACCTTTTAAGAAACTATTGTCGCGATCCTACTTTGAAGACATTCAAAAAGTTTTCTAATAGCTGCAGACGTGGCAAAGGTTTCTTTTTAGCAAAGCCTTTAATACTGCATGTCTGCTGCAGAGTGACACTTGACCAGTTTACAGCATCGGAATCTTATTGATTTACCTTCATCACCTCTTCTGGAAATAAGCTTCTCACACAGCTCTTTGCCTCCCAGGCGCTGCCCCAGAAGGGAGCACTTGTAGAAGTCAGTAGTAGTGGCCAGACATGGTGACTCACGCCTGTAATCCCAACACTTTGGGAGGCCGAGGTAGGCAGATCACTTGAGGTCGGGAATTCGAGACCAGCTAGCCAACATGGTGAAACCATCTCTCTACTAAAAATACAAAAAAATTAGCCAGGTGTGGTGGTGCACACCTGTAGTCCCAGTTACTCGGGAGGCTGAGGTGGAAAGATCACTTGAACGCAGGAGGTGGAGGTTGCAGTGAGCCAAGATCACACCACTGTCCTCCAGCCTGGGTGACAGAGCAAGACTCTGTCTCAAAAATAAGTAAATAAAAAGAAGTCAGTGGTAGTTCCATGGGCGAGACAGGGCCTCATATGACATGAGCAGGATGCACTGACTGCTTAACTTGGTTCACGAAGCAAGAAACAGGTATTACAAATAAATCTTTCAGCATGGGGTGGGGCATGGAGGTGGCAGGAAAGGATGAGATTTTTTTATCAACAAGTTTGTTGAATTGAACTCTGTGTTGGATGCTATGCTACTCCACTGAGGGGCTTTCAATCTCATTGGAAGAAGATGACTCATGCACAGAACACACGTAGCCATTTATCCCATTAACTTCTTTGGAACAGCAGTTCAAGTCCCAGTAGATGATTTCATTAAGAAAGTCTTGGGCATTAAGACTGGGAAAAATGATATACCTCATTCCCATTTTAAAGATTGACACAGCACAGCAGCCTTCCGGAGGGTCTGGGAAATCCTGCCAAACAGAAATTGCTTAATTTTGTACAGCAGTCAGGATAGGATAGGTCATGCTCTAACAAACAACTTAAAAACCCCCGTGGCTTAGGATCACAAAAGTTTATTTCTTGCTTGCGCTAACACATCGTGGATCAGCTGCAACTCTGCTCCACGTTACCTTCATCCCAGGACCCCGGCTGATGGAACAGGCTCTGTTGAAGAGAGAAGAGACGTAGTAAAACATTCCCGGGCTCTTAAAGCTTGAATTGCAGGCGATATGTGCCTTATGCTAGGCACAAACAGAGCAGAGAGAGTATTGCACTTGGATGCAAGCAGCCCCACAGGACAGAGCTGGGGTGACAGAGCAGGACTCCCATCACCCAGGAAGGGCCTGGCAACAAGCCCAGACCCAGAACAGCAGTTCCTTTAGGAAGTGGCAAGTAGGCGCTGTGGGTCAGAAACAAAACAAAACTAAACTAAACTAAACAAAAAGAAAATCTACACCCCTTCAAAGTAGACTGGAGAAGGCAGGTGAAATGGATCCAGTTCGAATCCAGAGGCATAGAAAGTTGACTAAGTCAGCGAGGAAGCTACTGTTTCATAGAGGGTTTCCAAAAGGTTCTCTGCCTGGGTTTAGGGAGTCCTTAGGCATGGCAGGTAAGAACATTTGGGTGTGTGTCTGCAGGGGCTGGAAGACTCCAATTTCAACAAGGAGTATGGGGTGTGCTTTTATGCCCATAGCAAGCAATAAACTCTCCCATCTTCTGAGACAGACCATATAAACCGAGAGTCTGTGACAGCTCTGCACCCCAGGGGGACATTTTATAGTTTACATATTTATCACAAAGGAAGATAGGAAATCATCATGATACACCAACCCCAATTAAGTCTGACAGAGCAGGGTCTCTGTTTGCAGAGAGCCAAAGAAGTGATTCTATATAAAGGCAGCTTTGTCTTTCCCCAGGCTGGATATCAGCATCCCTGAGACTAATTCACTGACAGCATGACCAGATGGCCCTGGAGAATCGAGGAGACCTGGCTCACCTCCACGGGAATCCTATGTGTTTCCATTCAGATGGTGTTAAGGTTATTCTTGTGAACTATAAAGAGGGTGGGATAGCCAGGCCTGCCTTATCAGAAGATTTTATGGCTTATTCTCTTCTGATTAAAAAGTAGTTAACAAGCTAAAATTAGAAGAAAACTTCCTTAAATTGACAAAGGATCTCTGACAGAAATCTACTATACTTAATATAGTAGATAATATGCATAATCTGTTTAAATATTTCATACTTAAAAGTGAAACATTAGCATCATTCCTATTAAACAAGAAAAGAGTGCTCATTAGTTAATATCATATTAGCAATAACAAAAATAAAATTTAGTTACTGAATTTTCTACTGAAATTCAGTTAATGAAAGAATTAAGAAGCATGTGTGTCAGGAACCTCCCAATATCCATTTTCCCTTTCTTTCACAGTAACAATTCTGAGCCAGGCAAATGACCATCCAGAGTAAGAACCACATTTCCCAGAGTCTCTTGCAGTTAGGCCAGTAGCCATGTGACTGAGCCTGACCAACAGGATGAAAGAGGAAGTATCATGTGACAGGTTCTGGGATTTTCCCGAAGGGTCACTTCTTTCGATGGAAGAAAAGCTTCATTGGCTTTTCTTCCATCCTGCTGCCTGAAGCTGGATACTGCCATCTCAGATCTAAGGATGAGGCCACACTCTGGATGGGAGAGTGGTGAGTTGGACGGACTATGAGGACTTCCCAGAACAGAGATGCCATACTAGCCTGAGACTGCTCATCTCTGGGCATTTTATGAGACAGAAATAAACATCTATCTTGTTTAGGCCACTATTATCTGGAGGATCTGTTATTCAGAGTTGAAACAAATCCTAACTGATATGAGGAATAAAGATAAGACAATCTTTATCACTTATCTGGATCATTTATCTTAAACAAAGTTCAGCAAACTACAGCCCAGAGGACAAATCCCACCAGCCATGTGTTTTTTGTAAGTTTGTTTACACATTGTCTATGTCCACTTTTGTGCTAGAGTGGAAGAGTCGAGAGGTTGTGCAAGCCCAAAATATTTACTATGTAGTCCTTTACAGAAAAAGTTTGTCAACTCCTGATCTAGCAAATATAGAGAATCAACTAAACGAAAAGTTGTCTGAGCAAATACAAGTAATCCTAGTTCTACTGGGTGGACTAGGGGTGGGAGATAAAACTGAGTTGCATAATCTGTTCTGTCCATGCCATCTAAAAGGATAATTGATCTAAATACAGCTCCAATCTCCAAAAATCAATTGAGCCTCTGAATCCTACTCAACATAAGCTGTGTGTAAGAGATCCTGTAATTATTTAAGTTAAATCTGCAGTCTGTATTTAGGGCAATGATATCATTTGTGAAAAAGGCAAAGAAGTGATTTGGGAAGAACACTAGATTTGGAGTCCGAAGACCTGGGTCTGGCTGACCTCCATTGTTTATTAGTTTTTAGATTTTAACAAAGTCCTTCTTGGAGCCTTGGTTTCCTCATGAGAACACCTCCTTGACAGATTGGGGCTGGAATTCAAAGAGACATGTGTAAAACCCCCCTTGCAAACATGATGGACAAATGGGGATTCTTTCACAGGGCTTATATATGAAATTGTTCCAAGTTTACATTATGGCGTTTGAAAGTTGCATTACAGAAAAGCCAGCAGGATTCAAAGCATGTTCATAGACTCAAAAGATTTCAAAGGTTACACAATAACATTATGACCAGAAAACAACAAAACGTCAAGCAGACTTAAAGTTCAAGGATGAAATGATAAGAACATAGAAAAGGGGTGAGGTGAGGATGACACACGAAAGGATGCAAGGGGAAAAAGCAAAGGAGATAGGAAGGAGAAAACCACTGTTCCCGGGTCTAAGATGGGAATGCCAGAGGGAGCAAGGGACATACGGTTTGGGGTAGCTGATGGCTTTAATGCGAGAAGGAAATAGTCGTTCCTTATCCTCATAAGCTCTTTCCCAGCTGAGGTTCTTTACATGTGCTGCTCTTTTCCTTTCTCTGGAAACATTCTTCTTGCCTCAGCCAACCTCTACCCTCACTTCCACCAATACCACCATTCCTCCCCCGCATCGTCAGGTTTCAGCCTAATTGTCACCTTTGCCGAGAAGTCTTTCTGCCATCTAAGATCTAACGTCTCTTGAGAAAATGAAGGAGTGAATGGCTGGACAAAGTCACACAAACAAATGGAGAGGCTAGATATATCTAGAATGCTAAATGTTGGGTATTTTAGCACCTATTACTAGGATCAATAATACCTTTACTTTTCAACAAGGTGGCAAGTATGCCCATAAATAATGAAGAATTGAAATGTCCATAGATTTAAATATGTATAAAGTCTGTTACAATATTCTCATCTCCTCAGAGATTTGGTCCTCAATAAGCTCCAATGAAGGCAGCGACTTTGTTGATTCCCTGTCACGTCTTTGACACAGCACAGTGCCTGACACATAGTGGATGCTCATCAAATATTGACACGACAAAAGGAAGTGGACTAATCTTAGCAAAACTTCATAGAGCATTGGCAGCACCCCTGAGGCTTTTGTTGCTGCTATAGGAACTTAGCTTGTCAAATCACAGAAGAGATGTTGCCAAAATTGTGTGGCTGGTGATAGTGTTAGACCCAGATAGACCCACAGTCAGACACTGTGTTCCCTATCATGTTACTTAACTACTATGTTGTGTAAGCAGAGTAAAGCATAGCTCTGCGTCAATACTGAAAATATAACTAACTTTCTACAAATTACTTTGAACTCATCAAAGGATCACAGTGTACTCACAGATTAATTCAAACTGTTCTTATACTAAATTTTTGTCTTGCCATATCCGAAATTTAGAGATCATTTTGTTTACATTTTCTTCATTGGATTGCTTTTGTTTTTATTTTCCTGTAAATAGAAGGGAAAAAAAGACAAAAGAAAAACAGAGTGGTATGTACAGTGCTACTCCACATCCAACAACAAAAGCCAAAGTCGCCTTTCAGAAAAACGTGAGTCACTTCTAGAGAACATATAAATGCTACTCCACCAGAATATGTCTCATCAAAAAATTGCCCTTACTGTATTTGTTTCCATTTTTACTCTCTGTCTCTCCCTTCCCCTTCCATATCCCTTGGAGATTTTGTCTACTGGATAGTTAACTAGTGATTCTTTGCAAATTGGAACATCTCTAGGAGTGCTGAAGTTTCAAATGTACATTTCTCCCTCACAGAACCCTGATTTGGTTCAGGTGTCCACCCTCCCTCTCAGCCTGTTTCTGAGGGGAAGATTGAAACACCCTCAGCTTGATTAGGGTGGACTTGATTGATCTAAGGGTAATTCCCTCCCCCTTACAATCAACTGGCCTGAGAAAAACATGTGACTCCACTCTGGCCAATGAGGTGCCAGGAAAGGTTTCCTGGAGGCTTCTGGGAAATAGAAACAGCTCTGTAGGAATAGTTCCATAAAACAGCAGTATGGGAGACTCCTGTAGAAAATAGCCCTTTTAAAAAAATGAATTCAGACTCTAAATCACATTAGGAAATGGACTACCAACAGGGGCAAATAGCAAACACAATAAATGGGAATATTTGCATTTCAAGAACTAAAAATAAAATAATCTAGCCAGGCATGGTGGCTCACAGCTGTAATCCCAGAACTTCAGGAGGCTGAGGCAGGAGGATCCCTTGAGCCCAAGAGGTGAAGGCTGCAGTAAGCCATGATTTTGCCACTGCACTCCAGCCCAAAAACCAGAGCAGACTCTGTCTCAAAAAATAAAATAAGAAAAATAAAACAATCTGAAAAGATCCTAAATATATCTAAAATATGTAATGTAAAGATGTACATAGCATAAAGGAAGAGCATGGGAGAGAAAAGGAGAGATTAACCTCCAAAAAAAAAAAACAAATTATACAAAAAGCCTCAATAGGTGGGTTTAATAGTTGAAGAGAATAGTGAATTAGCATAAAGAACTAGGAAAAATCATCTAGAATATAGTTCAGAAAGATAAAATGTAACATATGAAAGTTACAAGGGTGGCCAGGCGTGGTGACTCACACCTGTAATCCCAGCACTTTGGAAGGCCGAGGGAGGCCAGATCACCAGGTCAGGAGTTAGAGACAAGCCTGGCCAATATGGTGAAAGTCCATCTGTACCAAAAATACAGAAAAAAAAAAAAAAGTTACAAGGGTACAGTGAGAAAAGTCAACATGTGTCTAATTAGAGTTCTAGAATAAGTGCATAAAATAGAAAGTTAGAGAGGCAATATTCAAGTGATAATATCTGAAAACTTTTCCAGAAGAGAGGAAAAACATCACTTTTCAAATTGTATAAGTAGACTGAAACCAGAACAGTATAAATAAAAGCTCCAAGGCACATGGTAATAAACCTGCAGAATATCAAAAGTAAAGAGAAAAAACCTGGATGTTATCTAATAAGAAAACAAAGCAGAGAGCTAAAATGAATAATAAGTAACCTGACAGTAGATTTCCAAGAAGCAATAACAGATAGCAGGAGCCATGAATAATATCTTTTAAATACTCAGGGAAAAACAGTTTTCATCAAAGAAATCTAAATTCCAGCTAAATTATTATTCTAAGTTAAAAGCTAAATAAAGACAATTTCTGACAACGAAAACTGAGAGTTGAATGCCCGCAGACTCTTGGTGAAAAAAAATTATTATTTTATACCCTGGCAAGAAGGAAGTTGAATCCAAAGGGAAAAATGAGGATCCAAAAAGACAATGGTAACCAAAGAAATAAATCAAATGCACTGATCAGTCTACATAGTTGACTGGTACAGATCATAATTACAGCTAGTTAGAGATTGCTTAAAAATCAGGATGGAGGCCAGATACAGTGGCTCACATCTGTAATGCCAGGATTTTGGGAGACTGAGGCGGGTGGATTGCTTGGGGCCAGGAGCTCAAGATCAGCCTTGGCAACATGGCGAAACCCAGTCTCTACAAAAAAATATAAAAATTGGCCAGGCATGGCAGCACACACCTGTAGTCCCAGCTACTCAAGAAGCTGAGGTGGGAGAATCACTCAAGCCCAGGAGGTCAAGGTAGCAGCAAGTGGTGATTGTGCCACTGCACTCCAGCCTGGGTGACAGAATGAGACCTGTCTCAAAAAAAAAAAAAATCAAGATAGTAGAACTGATATAAAAGACAATGTCATAAAAGATGGAAGAGAAGACTTCAGAAGAAAGTAAACCATTCTTGACTTGTTCAAGAAGAGAGTAGAAATATTAACCATCTCTAGATTTTGTTAGAAAAAAAAATAAGGTCGAGTAAGCATTAAGAATCAAGAATTAGTGGATGATTTCTAAAATAGTAAAAGTAGAATGTATGTTATTACCTTCTAAAAGGAGGCAAAAGAAAATTCTGAAAGCAGGTAAAAGAAAATTTGACCAATTCCACGAGTGAGGAAGAGAGATAAAAAAAGAAGCAAAGTTTAAAAATGCAGACAAGAGGCAGAAACCAAACTGGTTACTCTGACAGAGAGAATGTAATGCATAGAATTGCTAACTACCTGGAGAAATGAAAAGGCAAAATGGAAACAGTGAGGGATCGTGGATGTAGCAAAGGCGGGAAGCAGCCGTCGCACCTCGGCTAGGAGAACAAAGGGAAGAAGTTGGAATTCCTAACAGTTTGGGGGAAAGCCTTGCAGAGCAAAACCCGTGAGAATCAAGTGATGCTCAGCCCGGTTGGGATCCCAGAGATCAGAGCGGGGTCCCTGTGAGGCTGAGTCCCTGACCTCTGAAGAGGGGAGGGACGCTGGGCAACAGGCACTCACGGCCCTAAGAGAGTGTGATGAGGCCAGTTCTGAGAATCTTGGAAAAAACTGAAAACTGATCTCAATTCCTGCTACTGGATGGGACTGCCACTGCCAACCTGAAGACACGGACAGGTGTCTGACGGGAACCGAATGAAAGAAAGCAGAACTAGGACAAACCAGGAAGGAGCAAGTCCCTTCCCCCTCCTCCAGCCTGCAGCGGCCCAATCAGCAGGACCTCACAGGGAGCCAGGCAGCAAGGCAGGCATTGATTTGCAACGTCCCAGCCCAGCATCTCGGGGTGGAGGATGGCAGGTTTGGGACTGAGAAACCAAAGCTCCATACTCGGCACAGCCTGCCCTGGGCTTTGCTTCCACACACTCCCCTCTGTGAGCTTTGGAACTCCCAAGACATCCATGTTTCAACTTAACAAGTTGTGGGGCCTCTTTCATAAGAAATGGAGGCATTCCCATTCTCTCCCTTGAATGAGGAGATACAATGTCCCAGTCATCAATGCTGCCATCTCCTGAAAACAGGCCACTGTCCATCTCTGGGGTGGGCGCGTTGTTCCTCAAATTCAGTCACAGCCAATTCAAATAACGTGTTACCTAAAGACAAAATTGTAAATTAATCTCCAACAATAGTTGCTCAAAGAAGTAAAGAGAGGGAGAAGGTAGAAGACAAAATATGTTCATATGTAAGCACACTCATGCACACACTTATGACGAATGTGAGAGTACACGGAGTAGCTTTGGTCCCCCTTTCTCTGACTGATCATGAGGCTGTCGTTGATGTGTACAGCTTCTTTCTGCACTGGCCATTCTCTTTCCTTTGTCCTCGGCCATGGCTTCAGCTTGTGAGGGTTCTCTACACAGTGACTGGAACCTTCATTCCTAAGGGGTCAGTGACCCTGCATTTTCGTTGTTACTATAGTTTTCCCTTAACATTTATTATTAGACATGGAAGAGCTAAGGGACAGCCCAGAGAGTCCCCTGTGCTCCAGAGAATCCTCCCTTGCCCCACTGTATGGCAACAACCACATTTCCTCTTGGTGGTTGCATGTCCACCCCAGCCAGTGGTGCCCTTCTTTTCTGTGCGGTTCAGTGGTGTGAGGAGACCCGAATGGTCAGATAGAAGTCTCGATCGGCAATCAGTGGAGCCACCGTTGGTGCCCTGCTGGAAGTATTCCTCCACTGCAAAACAAAATGTCCTAGAAGAGCTCAAATTCAGGAAAACAGAAGCCAAAAATTCTAGAAGTGTGTTACTAAGTGGAATAGTGAGATTTCTGACCCATGAACACTGGGTAAAGGAGACGCACATCCATTAACTGGAGAGGTTGACTTCAACTCACTTTTATTTGTTTTTCTCCCCGCCCCTGCCACCATCATTTAATCAGCCTCACCTGGTAAAATCTTGCTAAAAATCCAACTTTTAGAATAATAACTCCCCAGTTTGAGGGACTCTCAGCTGTGGCCTCTCCGAATGCATTCACCTCTTCTGAGGCATCAGAGCCAGCCAGTTGCCATCTGTTCTCAGCAGCCAGCCCCACACATCTCTACGGGCAGGACAGCCCATTGCACATCCACTACTCCTTGGAGTAAAAGAACATGTCCCCAGCAGAACAATGTGGTGCTTTCCATAAGCACGGGAAAACCTGCCTCCTGGTGCTCCCAGCTGCTTCACGATGGAAGATCCCACACATCGTATTGAGTCAGCTCTGTATCGTATTGAGTCAGCTCTGCATCATTTCATCACCATCCCCAGGTGAAGCAAGATACCAGCGCTGAGGGCCCATGTGCTTCCGTATGAAGCATGTCACGTGGTGCCATCTCCCAGGGAAAGGCCCTGCTTGGTGCTCTTCCCCTAACCTGGCCCATCACATTCCTCCCGTTTGATGCCACGTTTCAATGACCACGTATGAAGTGTGGATCCAGAACAAGGAGACGTTTCCTCCGTGGTTTCTGGCACTCATGTCACTACTTTATAATCACATTTCACAGCTTATGTTTTTGTCTTCTATCTTGGTGACACTCCATCCTATCTCCTAAAAGAGAAGACATTAACAATTTATTCCTTTTCATTTTCCTTCACAAGGACAAAAAAAAATGGCATCTTACTGGGTTGAAGTGTCCTTTTGTCCTGCTGTCTACTGGGTTCGTAGAAAAAGCAAAAATTCTGTGTTTGGCTTATAGTCTATACAGCCACCCAAAATAAATGACACAATCTACTTAGTTGACAGTAAAAAAAGAAGAATAACACGAATGAGCATGCAACAACCCAGGCTGTTGCATCCCTCGAGAAAATAAAAATCCTTCACGAAGATCAGAAAACACAGAGGGGAGGTTTGGGGGGAGAGAGAGAGAAGGGCAGGAGAAGGGTGAAGAGAGAACAAGTATTGAGCATCAGGGAACATTTTTTTTAATTTTCAAAATTTAGAAGGATGGGGCCATCTCTGGAGTGTGAGTTAAAGAACACCTGGCCTCACTTACTGCTTTTTGGCAGTGAGGGAGAGGTGTGTCACTTGCAAAATGTACATTGTGCCAAAACACAGCACCGTGGGAAACAGAAATGTGCCAAGGAGAAGGCTCTGAAGACAGTCATCCTAGCAAAGTCTGGGTCCTTGATGGATTCCAGCTCTCACAAAAAGAAGTTTTGCAGGAAGGATTTAGATTTCTGTTTGCTTCCAAAGAACAGTCTGTGATTGCACAGTGTGGGTGACATGTTTAAAGAGAATGAAGTTACACAGTAGTATGATCCATTAGAAAAATGCGTGTCATCTTCATTGGCGCCTAAGTAGGGGTCACCACTGGCCATTTGCCCTTAATCTTGGCAGTCTAAAGAATCTGAAGTGCCCTGGAGGTGATAAGAGAGAGGAAAACAAAATGCAACCTCATTTCTTATTTATTATTTCAAGCAGAAAATTGTTGTTAGAAACATATATATTTAGGACTGACAGTTCAGCCTACCCCACAGAGTAACTGGGCTTTTTCAAGACAGCCAACAGAATCCCTTCTGCTGGTCTTTGGAGAAGGAGAGAACTGCTACGATGCCCTACCTCAACCCTTCCTCCGCCCTCCACAGCTCCTCCTGCATCCCCCACCCCCACCACCAACCACCAGAAGGCCTCTTGAGGCCCTGGTATTGTCCAAGTTCACTGTCATGTGTTAGGATCACCATGTGCTTCTGGGAGGGTTGAGATGTTTTGAAAACATGCTGAGGCTAAATGATATTTATGCGTCTCTTGTTTTGCCCTCTCTGTTTGTTCCATTTCTCTTATTCAGCTCAGATCTGCTCTTGAAAATAAAGCTGCCTTCCCCTCCTAAATCAAGGGACAGTGAGGGCCACCCCCACTCAACTTCTTAATCCCTGCCAAAGCCACAGTTGTTTTCTGTCCACAATTCTCATGTTGAATTGAAGCTAGGAGTTTCCTAGGAAAAAGAGCTGGAGGAGAGTCCAGAAGTCAAGAAATATACTCTTTCTAGGGCTTCTCTTCTTCCTGCATGTTCAGAATTTGTCTTTCCCTGACTTAAAATAATTTTGTTATGGTACCTTGTCGTGGCTGCTGAGACTGGAAGGGAAACTTACAAGTTTGTCCTTGTTAAAAAGGAAAGTCTCAACCCCCCTGCATACCCATGAGTTTTTATTCAACCTTCAAACTCCTGATACATTCTGAGCTTTTTGTAAATTTTTCTTTTCATTATTAAGTGCCTATGATCTGCCTGGCCTTCTGCTTTTCTTTTGATCTGTTAAATTACACTTTTTATTTATACCTACAACAAAGCTGAGAAGGTGGGGGGAGCGGGAATGTCTTTTTGCTGGCTTTTGATGCTTTCAAAACAAAGTCATGGAGAAAATAGTGGCTATCATTTATTGTTACTGTTTTATTATCAAAACACTTGGCCACGACTTGGCTCTTGCCGGTGACAGGGGCTGAGTGGGAGCCATGCTGAGACATCAGCTCTGTGAAGGAAGCCGTGTCACCTAGCTGGCCCATATCTCAACACAGGTTCCTTCTCCCCTTGGAGACAGGACCTGGTAGAAAGCTCAGGTCATGTGTGCCAGGGAACGCTTTGTCACACCAAGGCCACCTAATGGTTCCTTCACAAGCGCCTCACACTTTCAGATCCAGGTATGTTTGTGGTGTGTCTTCCTTTGCAGATGCTGTCTGGAAAGTGAAGAGAAGGCTAATCAAGGACCGATCTGGATAGAAAGGGACACACACGGACCAAGCGTCTAATTGGGGGTTGCCCAGGTCTCACTGGTGCCTGGCTTCCCTTGGAGCATTTCCATTGCAGTTCACAGTCAATCCAAGAATCAGCGAAATTCTCATTTTCTTTTTTCCAGGTCTTCCAAGAGCTACAGAGTCGAACAGAAGCTGCATCTATCTGGCGTGCAGGCTGTCACCTGTGACAGAGAGGAAAGGCAGGATGGGGACAAAGACCAGGATCTCACTATCAGTTTAGGAAATTCTCTGGTCTTCATGCTGGCTTCTGACCCTTGTGTCGCCGAGTTTCCGTGAGTGCCAGCAGTTTCAATTACAGGTTTACAAAGCTAAGATCTTCAGGAAGCCTCCGGTCCTTTCACTAACTCATGACTGTTACAACAAAGAGCACGTGACAGTGTCTTCTAGACACTCGACCAAGACGTGTCACTTGCAATGAATACATTATGCCAAAGCACGGCACCCTTGAAAATAGGAATGTGCCAGGGAGAAGGCTCTGAAGACAGTCATCCTAGCAAAGTCTGGGTCCTTGACAGATTCCAGCTCTCACAAAAAGAAGTTTTGCAGGAAGGATTTAGATCTCCATTTACTTCCATTATTGTTACCAGACGGCCTCATAGCCTATTTTTGCTTTTTCTCGTATTTCATACAGATTAGTTTTTAAAGAAAGAATTGTGTTGTGTGCAGAGATATGAAGGGAAGAGAAACAGTTGAATTTTAGTAATTCACTACCAATTCCCGGACTCAAGCTAACTGTTAGTTTTGTTTCCCTCTAAAGATTGTATTACACAAACAATGGCATTTCTTTTCCTTATAGCACATTTGTGACCACATAACCCAATAAGTCAGTTTATCATGTAGGAAATTGGACACACGAAAGACAGCTGCTCTGTCTCCATCTTTCATGAGAAGGTTCAGAGCAACTCTAGGCTTCCACCAAGAACAGAATTGAAATGGGGTGTTATTTCTCTATTACACACCCTGCTTCCCCTTCACAGTTCGTAGGGTTCTTCTGTGGGCAAAGGGATGCCGGGATGATGAGATGTACACAGCATTATGAGAATGACCTCTTCTTTGCTTTGGGAAGGGTTGCCTGGGTCACCTGCTTCAAAGGAACAAAACTTCCAAAAGTTCAGCATGTGTTCCTTCAATATGGGACACGAAGGTCATAGAAACATAGCTTGAATTTGCCTTCTATGTTCTTTCCCATTGACACTCGTGACCCACACACTGCTGTAGACGTGCTCCACCTTCCTCCCTCATAGACCACGTCCCTCCAGCCCACAGCCTGCAATCAGCCCAGAGCCTGGCTCCCAATAACACCCACAATACCTGTTGCATTGACTCTTCCAGCTCTTCCGGCCTCTTCTTGAAGCCTCTTCATCCTCTCCTGACATCCATACTCACCTGTGCCCTCCGTTGGCTGGTGGTGCCATCTGATCTAGAGACCCACTGGAACAGGGGGCTGTGTGCCCCCCAGGTCAGTACTGAGAGCCTCTGCTGCCCCTTTGTAAATGCACCTTAGCCGAAAACAGAGATTCTGACTGAGGAATTCCAGACATCTCTGGAGAGACCTCATATGTGGAACCTTCTCAGTGTATTTCATCAACCGTGTCCTTTCCAGCCTAAATGGTCTCCCTGACTCAGGCATTCCCAAACTGAGAAGCTTCAGGGGATTTGGAAATAGCCTAGAACCCGAAGCCAAGAAGACCAACATTGGAATCCTAAATCTGTCTTTTCCTGAGTATTTTACCCAGGCAAATTTCATTCAGTATCCTCATCCATTAAGGAAGTAGCTTTATCTGCACTACAGAATTTTGAGGAAGAATAAATGAGCTGCTGTCACACATAGTTTAGAGAACTAAGAATGAGGTAGCTTAAATAGAAATAACTAACACAGAATTTCTCGCACTTAGCAGGTGTGTGATGCAAGTGCTGGCTGCTAACTGGTTTTTTGTTTTGGTTGGGGGAAGGAAGATCCAGGCCAGTGAAGATGGTCTTCACAGCCAAGATGATTGATAAGGTTAGAATTACTAAGTTTCTGATCTCAGTCCATCTCTGAGGGGTGACTTGGGAACTCTCCCACAACCTCCCTATTTGCTTCAAATTGTTCTGGCAAACTGCTTAATGGCAAAGTGTGGAGAAGGGCTTTCTACTGGAGAGCAGATATAAACACCTGCAAAAGGAGGGGCCATGAAGAAGGCTCACTCTGCAGCCTTACAGAGGCCCAAATGATAGCAGAGAAGCTTGCAGCCACACGTAAGAACTGAGAGGTTCACTGAGCATCACAATAAAAAACCAGCTCCGCAAAGTTCGTAGCCACAGATGTAGGGCTTTGGCAGGAAATGGTTGGGGTTGTGTCATCTTCTTTTACTTTCTGAAATATTCTAGAAAAATGGCTTCTGTTTTATCCTTGCAGTAGATAACTGTGGTCCTATAAACTTCATAGGATCAGCTCATAGTGTACAAGGTAGGAACCATCATTAATGTTTGTGACACTCTTTCTTGACAGAGAAACTTTAGAATACTAATAATAATAATGGTCCACAGTTACCCAGAACTCGCTATGCGCCTGTCACTCTTCTGAGCACTTGATATACAATAAGTCACCCACTTCCTTTCTGACACAGATGTCCTAGTCACATGTGAGGTAAGAGTCTTTCAAACTGGGCGTCACAAATGGATTTTCTCCTTGCAGAATGGCTTCCTCCAAGTTAGAAAAAATTCTTTCTCTTACTAATGTGGGAAGTTCCACCCCCTCTAATATCAGATGACCACAAGAAGCCCTGGCATCTCCACTCACGCTGGCCTGAGCATGGCTATGCCCTTTGAACTGTCCCTCCCGTTGTAGTCTCTGGGATATCATGCAATCCTGTGACTGCTGTTTTTGATTCATTCAGATGGGTTCGTTTACAATGTCAGCACAGGCCAACCAGCATAGACAACGCTTCTTTTCATAAAAAGGAACTTCAGATACTGTGTTTTTAAGAGAATTAAATGAGATAATTCAGGTAAACCTCTGAGCATGGCGCCTGCCCCCAGGGAAGGGTTTGGATGGTTTGAGAACTACTAGAGTGGTCGCCTGCGAGGGCTGCCATTACAAGGGACCACAGACTGGGTGGGTTAAATGGCAGAAATGTACATCTCCTGGTTCTGGAGGCTGGAAGTCCAAGATCAAGGTGTCAGCAGGGTTGGTTCCTTCTGAGGCTGTGAGAGAAGAGTTTGTTCCAGGACTCTCTCCTCAGCTGGTAGATGGCTGATTTCTCCCTGCGTCTTCACATCCTCTTCCCTCTATACATATTTGTGCTCAAATTTCTAGTTTTTGTGAGTATATCAGTCATCCTGGATTGCCCACCCTAAAGACCTCACTTTAACCAAATTCCTTCTGTAGCGATCCTATCTCCAAGTAAGGCCACAATCTGAGGTACTGGGGACTCCAACACATAAATAAGGTTGGGGGCAGGTGGGCACGCAAATCAACCCACTGCCAAGGGGCTGGTATCACTGCACTGCAGTCAGAGAGTTCGCCGTAGGGACAGGGGGCTAGGGGACCGGCCAAGCAGATAGATAAGACAAACTGAGCCTGAAATCTGGCTGGAGACCAAGTCCTCAAGGGCTCTAAGTGCTGATGAGGACAACGGGGGTGCAAAGAGGATAAGCCCCTCACCCAGTGCTGTCTGAAGTCTACCAGGGAGGTTGGGTGAGGACGTCCTAAGACTTGAAGCAACAAAGAAGTCTCAGGGCTGAGCCAGAATCAGGCTGACCCAGCCATGGAGGGGAGGGGCTGCCATGGAGGCCAAGGAAGTGCTCCAGCTCCCTCTGAGTCGGTCAAGTCCCTTCAGGGGCATTAACTCATTGGTGCTCCAGCTTCCTCGTGCAGTACCATGCAGACATTACCAGAGTACCAACCCTTCAGGAATCCTCGAGAGAGGTGGCATGAGGGCAGTCAAGCTGGATCCTGCCCTCTGGGGGTTGTGATCTGGTAGAAGGCAAACGTGTGTGTGAAAAAATAAAACATAGTGTCAGAACTGATGGGTCTCAAGAGAAAATAAGATAGAATAATAGGAGGGTTCAGGAAAAGGCAGTGTATTCATTTCCAGGGGCGCTGTAACATATTACCACAAACAGCTCTGAGGCTAGAAGTCCAAAGTCAATGGTTCCGCTGGGTGGGTGCCCCTGGAAGGCTCTAAGGGAGAACGTGTCCGGGCCTTCTCCTGGCTTCCAGTGGTCCTGGCATCCCCTGTGCTCCTTGGCTTGTAGACATATCATTTCAGTCTCTACCTCTGTCCTCACACGGCTTCTCCTCTGTGAATCTTCTCCTTTTTTTATTTTAAAGACACCCATCATTGGATTCGGGGCCCACCCTGATCCAGGATGATCTCATCTCAAAATTCTAACCTTAATTATGTCAGCAAAGATTCTATTTCCAGATGAGATCACCTGCACAGGTAGTGTAGGTTAGGACTTAGACATATCTTTCTGAGGGACAGCCACTGTAGACAATTAACCTCATTGAGAGAAACGGGAGGATTTGGGAGTGAGGGGCAGGGGGCATTCTGAGCTGGGCTTTGTGGGGAGAGGCAGGATTGGGCCTTTGGAGAAGAGTGGAAAGGACATTTCAGTAGAGGGACAAAAGGGATGAAGGCCCAGAGATGCAAAGCACCCTTCACCCACAGAAGGCAGCAGGCATAGCAGAGGAGGGCTGAACGGGATTTGGTATCTGCCCGTCCCTTCCTTTCTGCTCCATAAGCTACTCCCATCATCCCCACTGTCATGGCCATGACCGACACTGAGTTAAGCAACGCAACAGAAAAGTTGAACAAGGAATGCCCAACCTCTCCATTCCTGCAGAGCAATTCCAGCTTGGCCTACTCCTGAGTTATTTCACTCCAGTTCACTTGCAAACATGTGTGCTCAGTCAAAAGCATCCAAGAGATTAGCATGACCCAGGACTAAGCATCTCCCTGCACCTCAACTTTGGTGATTTGAGAGTGAAAAAGTACTCTCTTTATTATGAAGACAAACCCTGGTATAGTAAGAAGGAGACTTCAGCAGTGACACGGGATCGTAAGTAAAAAGAGAATAATAATTCCCACTTCTCAGGTTTACGGTTAGGCACAAAGAAGATCAATTTGTAAAATGTGTAACAGAGAGTCTGACCTAGGGGAAGACCCCAATAATGGTAGAGAGGGGAAAACAGAGGGCTTGGGAGACTCTCTTAGACTCTCATTTGTCATTGTGTCTCTTCACTAGAAAAATTTTAGGAAGACTGGCCCAAAAAAAGGCACCAGAGGGGTACAGGGATGGAAAAGCACAGTGTGACCTCATCATGGAAGGGCTTAAACATCAGCCCGAGGAATTTCTACTTGTCCTGCAGCTAATGGGAAGCTGATGTCACAAAAATCAGTGAACTCAATGTCTTGTGCCAGATTAATACAATGCAAAGAGTTAACAATTACTTGGTGCAGTTGTGCCATGTCAATAACTGATGTATTACATCCACTTTTTCTGCTCTTTGCAGAGTAGTCTAGAGCCTTGCAGAGTGTAGTATTATTATCTAACTAATTGGAAACACGCATTTCTTTTGCCACCAAAAGATAAGGCTGACATGGTATTTAGAAAAGTTGTGTTTGCAAAATGAACCATCCATCCTGGCTGGCAAGATAATCCTTTTCAACCAGTCATTTTGTTGCTAGTCATTTTGTCGCCCACTTGTGCTCTTACTGTTAAAATTTGTTAATTTCTTTTTTTAAAACCCACATTGAGTCAGACTGAGTTAACTCTGTTGTGGGCATTTCCATCACTCGACACAGAGCTTCTTAGCACCACCAGAGGTGGGACTTTTGGCAAATGCTGTTTATCCACCTTTGAAATTAGACATTCATTGCAAATGAATTTAAAATGAAATTCCTGTAAAAAGCATTTTTTCTTTCAGTGATAGTTTTTGCCTTTTTTTTTCACTTGCCCATAACTTTCTGGAAATTTCTACTTTGGGCTGAATTTTCTCATAATTGTTTTCAGTATAAGTTTGCTTTGTTTTTTATTAATGGAAAGTTTAAGGGGAAAAATCCCTTTGGTAACTTTTGAGTTATGAGATTATTTTTTAAAGTACACTTTTTCCAAGTAAAAGAAACCTTTGAACATTTTTTAAAAATCGAAACCTTTGCATTTGAGGACTATAGTGGACTCCAGGCAGTGGTTCCCAGTATTGTCTTCACTTTGGAACCCTTTGACAAACTTTTAAAATACTGATGCCTGAATCAAAGATTCTGAAGCAATTGGACGGGGTCCAACACAGGCCTTAGGATCACTGGGAGCTCCCCCAGGTGATTCTCATGTTCCAGATTCACTGAGTAGTATCCTTGGACACAACCACCCCAATATCCAAGCTCTAAAAAGGATGCAGAGGTCTTCGAGGGTGCAGAAAGGAAAATCAATTCTTACTGGGAATAATTTTCTTTCCATTAAGAGAAAAATAGTTGGCCAGGCATGGTGGCTTACGCCGGTAATCCCAGCACTTTGGGAGGCCGAGGCAGGCAGATCACGAGGTCAAGAGATCGAGACCATCCTGGTCAACCTGGTGAAACGCCATCTCTACTAAACATACAAAAAATTAGCCAGGCGTGGTGGTGCGTGCCTGTAGTCCCAGCTATAGGAGGCTGAGGAAGGAGAATCACTTGAACCCGGGAGGCAGAGGTTGTAGTGAGCCAAGATTGTGCCACTGCACTCCAGCCTGGCGACAGAGCGAGACTCTGTCAAAAAAAAAAAAGAAAGAAAAACATAGTTATACTTTTTACTATGTGAAATATACAGCTCTGAGGAAGATACGAAAAAAATTTGACTCATAAGTCTTTATATAACCCGCATCCAACTAGTCAACTATCACCAGGTCCATCACTTTCTGTTCCTTAAGGAGAGATTCACTTTTCACCACCACTCAGAGTGAGGAACCTCCTTCCTGGCTTTGGACAAAGGGTTTCTCTGTATTCTTGTGGCCATCAAAGAAAAAGAGAGAAACTCTGGGGAACCAGCCATTGTCCTGGTTCTGTGGCCACCTTTTCCCATCATTCGGGGTCTTTTCCTGGGCTTTTGTAAAAGTTTTTAAGAAATTCCTCTACCAAGGGCAGCTAGGATAGAGTTCCAAAATGGAAGTATGACTTCCAAAATGGACCACAGGCAAAACCATACTCACTACCACAGAGGAAATACGTCCTCCCTCCGCATCTGGGTAGAGCCTGGTACATAAAGTCCCAGAAACCAGAAGGTAACTCTGCCTCCTCCTCCCTTCTGACTCTTGGGGCTCATGGATCCCCTGCCCTTTAATGACATTTCGTCACCGCCAGCTGCAGAGCCAGAGCCACACATGCTTCATGCTCAAAGATGGACCCTACCAGAATTCATCTAGTCCATGAGCCTTTACTGAATGCCAACTATATGCGAGTCCTACGGAGAAGATGTCAACATTAACAGGACACAGCCCCTGCCCTCATGGAAGGACAGTCAAGCAGACCACTGCAGGGGACACCCTTGTTCAAGGACCAGAGTGTCTGAAAGTCACAGGAAAGTTTTTTTGATCACTATGAAAGTTTAACACGTTCGCTGTAAAATAACTTGGCAACTTTATGCCAGAGCAAATAGTACCATGGAGTAGATTCCAACATAGACAAATGTGAGTTGCAAATTTGTTGTAAATATGGGGAGAAAATGTAAAACTAAGCAAGTTTTCTCTACCAAGTTAAATTGGTCTGTGGATTGGGAAGAGACTGCCATGCTTGTGTTTCGCCGCAGAACACTGCAGACCAGCTGAGGGACACCAGGCAGGGCTCCCAGAAAGACATCTGAGGACCCTCTGCTCTTAGACAGTCACACTCACGCCAAGCAGGTCCCTTCATCACCACAGAAGAAACTCAGGCTCCTGTGTGATTGTGTGTCTCAGACACGGCTCTCTTTCAGGGGAAAAAGTGGTTTCCCTGTTGAGAAAAAGCAGTACAGGAAATGTTTACATATTTTACTAATTTAATGAGCTCTGAGTAAAATGTATAAATCTTGGCATCCAGGGACCATTGCAGAAATTCGCGCAAGCTCTTGGAATCTGCCTTCTTTAAAGCTTTCAATCCCATCATGATCAAAACACAACAAACAAACAAAAGTGTGCAGAAAGGCAGACTAACTATAGGGCTGAAAACCTGCAGGAAGCTGTCCCACTCAGGACTCTCTGGGAACCTAGGCAGCATCCCCCAGTCTCCTCATGTTGACTTCTGCCCATGGGATGCAGAGTCTTCAGGATCTGATGTTTTCATCTGGCCATTTTTGCTGACAATTCCACTTTCAGGACTTCGATGTTAACATTGTCTCCCTGTTTGTTCCTGGGTTAGGCTTTTCATATTTCCTTTTTAAAACCCTGTCTTCTCTCATCCATGGCCATCAGGAGCACTTCACCTCCTGCTGTGATGGCTCCAGCCCTTCCTGGGGAAGGCTGTGGGAAGTCTCCCCTCTGGCTGGCTTCAAAAGCTTCTCCCATAAAAGCTGAGCAAAGGTCTTTGTCAGACTTATTTGGAAAAAGGCTCCTCGGACATGAGTAGTGAGTAAATCCTAGAAAACAATCTGTTGAGTTTGTAAATGAATACATGTTTTTGGACTTCATGCAGACATCCTCAATCCCTATTCTCAGATGCCGTAGTTATCTGCAGAATTCCCCTTCAGTTAGGAAGTAGGTTTTTCATGTCTATCTGATAACCTGGCTTTTTATTTGAAATGCCTCCAATGACAGAAAACAGGAACTAAGTGGCTTTTATTTAAGGAAGCAAAACTCCTATCTGCCTATCACAGTCTAGAGAGTTTAAAAATGAGAAGAAGGAAAAGAGCCGCCAAAAAAAATGTAATTTCCTCTTTGACAATTATTTCTGAATAGGAACTTGAGCAATCACACTCGAGAAGGTGAGGTTTTTGTCCTACTTAAGTTGCTCAGAAGTGTGCAAACTGATGCCCTCCTGATGCTGTGGGGCTGGCCCACAGCTTTGTGTGGTCCCTGGAAGCAAAGATTTGAGTTTCTGTCACTACTGCCAGCTCCAGACTTCCTGGAGCTTTCCTGGTCTCTGCCTTCAGCGATTCTGACTTGAGTCTGACTTGAGTGTCTATTGCTTTCAAACCACCCTCCTGCCCCTTCCCTTTGTCTGTATCTGTCACATCGTAGGGTGGTCCACAAGGCAGAGAACTGATACCAACCCCCTGACAGAGAAACAAAGGCAGGCATATTTCTGGTCAACTTAAAAGTATATATATGTACACCTATATGTGTATTCATATATACATATGTATATTTATAAGCTGAATTGTGTCTCCCCAAAATTCCTGTGTGGAAGCCCTAGCCCTCAGCACCTCCAAATGTGACTGTGTTTGGAGGGAGGCTCTTAAAGAGGTGGTGAAGTTAAGGTGAGGCAGTTAGAGTGTGTCCTACTCCAGTCCGACTGGCGCCCCTATAAGAGGGAATGTGGTCACGAGAGACCCCAGGAATGTGCACACGGAGGGAAGACTAAGGCGGGGTGCAGTGAGGATGGCCATCTGCAAGCCGAGGAGAGAGGCCTCGGAGAAAGCAACCCTGCCCACACCTTGGTCACTCCTAGACCCCAGGACTGGAAGGAACACATTCCTATTGTTTAAGCCATCCAGTCTGTGGTATTTTGTTGTGGCAGCCCCAGCAGACGTGTGTGTGCGTGTGTGTGTGTGTGTGTGTGTGTGTGTGTGTGTATAATATGAGGAACTGATAAAAGTTGGAGTGGCTAGTCACAAGGCAAAGCCTCCTCCCTGAATTAATTCTAGATCGCTGAATCACATGGCTGTTGCCCAGTAGAAGCCCCTTGTCTACACTGTCAAATGAAACGCGCCACCCCTCCTGACTCCGTTCTGAACGGTGTGACAGGGCCCTTCCTGGTCACAGCCCAACACACGCTCCACAGCATCCTCCTGGGAACCTTGGCTCCCTCTTTGCACTGAAGAACCACGATCATTTCCAGAAGAACTAAATGTGAATCCCAACTGTTAGGATTGAGAAATGCCTGTTGACAGCAGCTAATAACTTGGAAAACTGAAAGGATGAGATAGGAACGTGAAACACACCTTGAGTTTGGGAGCCATGTCCATTTTCCAACTCAATACCCAGTAAAGCTCCATGCACCTTGTGGGGACTCAAAAAGTATTTATTGACTGAGTACAAATAATAATGAAATTAAGTTTCCAGAAGCATCTCAGTTCAACTTTTCGAGTACCCAAAGAATGTCAGTCTTTCTTTGGAATTTCTGAAAGTTCTACCCAAAGTTCTGGATACTCCACCCTTTAGTTTTGCATCCTGAAAATTCCCTTGTATGTCATTTGTATCCATAAGCACAGATTTTTTTAACATCCACCACTGATTGATTTTTATTTTACATCTCTCTGGTCTATTTAAACTTTATTATCTTAAACACACTAAAAAATGCATCATGGGCTCACTGTGAGAAATACTGTATCAGTAGCTCACTAAGATGCTTTAAAATAAAGCTGGATTGCTTCCACCGAGAACGAGGCTAAATCAGTGCTTTTTAAAGTTGCATTTGCAATGCATTGCAATGTTACCCTGGGGGTGCATGTGCAAAAGTCATGGTAACAATTTATGGAGTCACTATTTGTTTCAGGCACCTATTGCTGAATAATAACCACCAAAAACTCAGTCTCCTAAAACAGCATCAATTTCTGATTTAGCAGGATTCTACGGGTTGGCTGGGCAGTTCTACTGTTGGTTTCACACGGTCTCACTTAGATGACATTCAGGATCGCCCAAGACGGCCTTACACACACGTCTGAGAGTTGGTGTTGGCTGTGGGCTGGGCACCTTGTCTCTCCTCCACGTGGTCTCTCATCCTCCAGGAAGCTTGTATGGCTTCCTCACATGGCTATCTCAGGGCTGCATTCAAGAGGGCAAAGGTGGAAACTTTGAGGCCATTGGAGCACAGTATCCTTTTTTCTGCATTCTACAAGTCATGAGGGCAGCCTCATATAAAGTGGGGAAGTAGACTCCGTGTCTTGATAGAAGCCGCCTCAAAGAATTATGGCCACATTTCATTAACCACAAGACTGCAGCAGATTCTAAGTCACCTCAGCTCTCTCACTTTGTGGGTGAGAAGGGGTAAGTTAGGGAAATAGTGCTCCTGAGACGACGCTGCTCAATGGAGGGACGCTGAGGCTCAGCTTCCCACCCAGGCGGACAAGGTACCTGCTGCTTCTAAGATTGCCTGGTGCCTGTGGTTACAGTGGAAAAGGATCCCATTATAAAACTGACAGATCAGTTGACCCCAAAAACTGTGGCTGAGATCACTGGTTAAGCTGCATGTTGGAATTCTCTGGAGAATTTTTTTTAATCCTGAAATCCCGTCTTCAGAAATTTCCATTTTATTGGTCAAAGATTAGGTGTGGGCATTGATTATTCTTAAAAAGCTTCCCAGGGGATTCTCACGTGCAGCCAAGTTTGAGAAGGACTGATATTTAAACTTTAAACTGCCTTTTCTCAATTGTCAGAGAGATTCAACTAACGCCTTATTTACTCTGTCGACCTGGTCATTTGTACATGGTAAACATGCATCATGAAAGGATAATGTTACACACACACACACACACACACACACACACACCCCGAGTGTTCTTGCAGGTGGTGGTCAAGGAAGCTCACCTTCAAGTGTTTAGGGATCTTCCAAGGGGCATTTGTGGAGAGCTGAGCTCTCTCACAAAAAACAGACGCCCCGTGGACATACAGCTGGCTCTTAGGTTCAAGACAAGTTTGTGCACCTGGTGGTCTATTTGGCTTCCTTAACCCAGGCCATTGAAAGTGAGTCGCCAATAGGGAAATACCACATTTATTTGAAAAAATTAAGTAAAATTAGCAAAGCCTCTGTTGAGTTAGATCTCGGGGCTCTAAGTGAGCCAAGCAGTAGATGCCTTCTCTCTTCTGTTTAGCCACCTGGTGAAAGGTCTAGGGCTTAGTCTCAACATAAAAGTGTAAACGATTCCTTTGGAGTAGCCCTCAGCTTTTGTCTGGGAAAACATGGTTGAGCATAGCAATCAGAAGAAGAAATGTGTCCAAATATCCAAAAAAGCAGAAGTACAGCTTCAGGCTGGGCACCTGTTTTACTCATTCTTAAAAATGGATATTTGTGTACTTCATACTGTGCACCCCAGGCTTGTCTTGGGGTGTAAGAATGAATTGCTTCAATTTAAGGACCTGCACTCTAATTTCAAGGGGCAAGATAGAACGTGAAAGCTAGCAAGGAATCATGGAATAACCTAGTGATTATAAAAATGCCGTTAAATAAACTACTCCAAAGCCAGGAAGCAGGAATATATTAAATACATTTTACTTTTTACTTTTTCATGATACAGCAGGCCCTCAAATAACATCATTTTGTTCAATGTCATTTCATTATCACGTGGATGAAGAAAAACAATTTCTTCCCGGCTACGGCCACTCTCAGTGTGGAATTTCCATGCTCTCCCAACATCCACATGGGTCTCCTCTGGGTCCTCTGGTTTCCTCCCACATCCCAAAGCTGTGCCATTCGGTGAACTGGCGTGTCTATGTGGTCCCAGGTTGAGTGAGCTTAGGTGTGTGTGTGAGTGTGCCCTGCGATGGGGTGGCAGCTGAGCCGCCAGGATGGTCTCTTGTCACCCCAGACCCTGAACTGGAATGAGCAGGTAAATAATGAACCTCTTTGTTTTTATTCATCTTTCCTAAATGTACGTATAGCTCACACTTATTTCAATGTTTAATATTTGAAGTGTTATGGGTCTTTACTGAAAAGTTCAGTGATCCTTTTGTGACCAGAAATATGCCACAGGAACTTGACTCTTGTTTACATCATCAGTTAGCCTATGGGAAAATTGTTTTCATTATACGTTGATTTGCTTAGAGTCACAGTTTCCAAGAATCTATGGATGACATTAAATGAGGTCTTACTGTGCTTCCACAGCCATCCTTCAGAGTGTGGCCCTCAGACCAGCTGCATCAGCGTCACTGGGTACTCATTACAAATGCACATTTTCAGGCCTCTCCCCAGACCTGCCGAATCAGACGCTCCAAGGTGGAGGCCACAGTCTAGGTTTGAATGAACCTCCAGGTGATTCTGATACGCGATCAACTTGGAGCAGCACTGCACTGCACATTTGAGAAATGGTTGCTGTTTGAGATTTATGGAAGATCTCACAAAGGCTACAACTCAGAGAAAGGGCTTCTGGGCTCAGTTTTCCAGTTAACATATGCAAACTTAGGAAAGATATGGAAATTTTTTTAAATATGTATCATGGCTGGGCGCGGTGGCTCACGCCCATAATCTCAGCACTTTGGGAGGCCGAAGCAGGTGGATCACGAGGTCAGGAGTTCAAGACTAGCCTGGCCAAGATGGTGAAACCTCGTCTCTACTAAAAATACAAAAATTAGCTGGGTGTGGTGGCGGGTGCCTGTAATCCCAGCTACTCGGGAGGCTAAGGCAGAGAATTGCTTGAACCAGGAGGCAGAGGTTGCAGTGAGCCAAGATCACACCACTGCACTCCAGCATGGGCAACAAAGTGAGACTCCATCTCAAAAAAAAAAATATATATATATATATATATATATATATATATATATATATATATATATATATAATGCTTTCTAGTGTGTTACATAATGTTTTATGACCCAAAAACAGAAGGAGAAATCTTATGATTCTTTTTTCTGTAAGAAAAGCCCAGGAGGCAGCATCAGGTTTGCAAAAATTACGTGGCTTTCCCTTGCCCCTCTGCCCAAAGTCTTTTCACACAGAAGATGACACTAGCTTTAAACCCTTCCCCCGGACTGGTCCTAGAGTCTAAATCAGAACCAGTCTGGACTAGTCCATCAGGAAGGCTACAATTGCCAGGAAAAGAAAGCACTCCACAGACCCAGCCACAAAGGGTTAGGACTTGCTAAATGGTTGCTAGCTGAACCTGGGTGAAAAGGTGAAAATCAGATGTGAAGCCACCAATGAGCACAGTGCCCTGAGCACTGGCAAGCCCGCTCCGGCCAGGTGAGAGTTTGTCTTCAGGTTGGAGACCCCCTTACTGCTTCCCCTGGCAGGAGCTGCGTGCCTAGTGGCCACGCTCCCCAACCCCGAGGAGCAGGGGCCGCTTGGGAGGGCATCACTGAAAGATTTTCTTAGGAGACACCAAATAAGGCACATATTTGAGAAGGGGACCACACACATTCAAAATAACAAATACTTTTCTTTTTTAAAATTTACACAGGGAGGTAAAAGCCCTGGATAATTTTTTTCATATGACAAATGAAAAAAAGTGCTCAGTAAAAAAACCAAAGTCAACTACAGTAAATATATCTTTAAAAGGCATTTTAAAAGCATGGGGCAAACTAAACATTTTTCCACCATTTCTACTTTTTTGGTTCAGATTTTTACAAATGCTGCACATGAATTTTGTAGACTGCTAACAAAGAACCTCAGCTTTCATAGTTTTCTCTTTGTTTCTTCAAAAAAATAACCTACCAAATCATATTGTAGTTAACTGATGTTCAGGGCTGCTGACATGCCTTTTTTGACATCATGTTTGCCTTGTGCAATTTTTCAGGCCAAAATATCAACAGAAAGAAAAGATTCTTTAGTTTTTTTGTTTTTATTTTTTATTTTTTTTTGGAAACGGAGTCTCGCTCTGTTGCCAGGCTGGAGTGCAGTGGTGAGATCTGGGCTCACTGCAACCTCCGCCTCCCGGGTTCAAGTGATTCACCTGCCTCAGCCTCCTGAGTAGCTGGGACTACAGGCGTGTGCCACCATGCCCAGATCATTTTTTGTATTTTTAGTAGGGACAGTGTTTCACCATGTTGGCCAGAATGGTCTTGAACTCCAGACCTCGTGATCTGCCCACCTCGGCCTCCCAAAGTGCTGGGATTACAGGCGTGAGCCACCGCGCCCAGCCACATTCTTTAGTTCTTAAAGTGATAAACACAGCTAAGCTGAAGCCCTACCTGGGTCCTACAGCACTGATAATGTAGCTAAGATGAAGCCCTGCCTGGGTCCCATAGCAGTGATAACGCAGCTAAGGTGAGGCCCTGCCTGGGTCCCATAGCAGTGATAAGCGCGGCTAAGCTGAGGCCCTGCCTGGGTCCCATAGCAGTTTGTGTCATCAGCCATACAGCTTCTAATCACCTAATCTCAGGATGTCTTATTTTTAATTCTTCATCTTGATCACAATAAGTGGAGAAGCCAGTTTAAAAAGAACATTTTGTTTGAGCCTTTCTTAGTTTTCAAGCCAGCTTTTGAAAACACAGCGTTCTTCAAATATTATTTTATGCTGAGCCTATTTTGTATTCCAACACAAAGATAAATTCATAATTGCAAATATCTGAGGGGGCAAATTTGAAATGTCTGCTTCCACTACTGCAGAAATGCAGCCATTTGTGGAGACAGCAAATTATTTTGCAAGATGAAATGATGCTTGACATTATTTCAGGGATGCCAGGGTCCCAGCAAACCTCTGAGAAGTTCCCTGGAAGGCAGCCCTTCTCCTGCCAGGAAAAAAAACAAAAATTAAAAAATGACCTTAAAGGACTGAACTGTATTTACCGTAGCCGAGACTGAGTCCTTGCCTGTATCTGTGAGCCCGGGGCCTGCAGAGAGGTGAGAACGTCTCTTCCAGGCATATCTTCCCCACCCACAGACTTTCCTAGAAGTTTCTTAGAGGAGAGGCAGGCAAGGAGTTTTATTGCTAATTCGCTATAACCAAAGTCACCGCATAAAAGATTCTGCAGGTTGGGTACTTTGCAGATTAGTGAATCCAAGACCGTCATTCAAAGTGAGCACCAACTTCCCAGC
Organism: Homo sapiens; assembly: GCF_000001405.40. Classification (NCBI taxonomy): domain Eukaryota; kingdom Metazoa; phylum Chordata; class Mammalia; order Primates; family Hominidae; genus Homo; species Homo sapiens. The sequence continues at coordinate 159,049,197 of NC_000006.12, read as the reverse complement.
CCCCGGAGTCCTTTATGCTAAGTCCTCCTCTGCCACCAGACAGTGAGGAGCATGGCTCTGGGGACGTCCACACCTCCCAGAGCACACAGAACTAGGGAGTCTAAGGTGAGAACACTGGTAAGGCTTTGGTCCTTGGAGGGTGGGAGGTGAGAGGCTGGACAGGTGTGGTCACGCCCTCCTGACAGATTCACTGACAGAAGCTGACACTCAAGTCCACCTAAGGCGAGGCCTCCTTCCTCACCACAGAGCTAGAGAGTCCATGTGTCTAATCCCACAACATTGGTATCGACATAAGCCCGCGGTGTGTGCAAGGAGAGGCTGTCTCCAGCTCAATCAAATTCTGCAACGATGGTCTCTGTTACAGCGTGACAAAGAGGTAGTCTTTCTCCATGAAACGAAACAGTCAAAGGCTAAGTGACAAAAAGTCTGAGTAACAAATTGCAATACCAGCAAACGTATGGTGAGATTTAAATGTTTTATTTTATCACTCAATTTTACTAGTAATTAAAGTATAGCAAATGCCTACTGTGTGCAAAATATGAGGCCAGGCACTTGTAAGAATAAAAGATGAAAAAAGTAGACTCACAGTCTACTGGGTGCGGCCACTATGCAGGGCCAGGGAAGGAAATTTAATTCAATCTAGAAAAGTCCCTTCTTAGAGGAGATAGGACTTGGGCTAGATTCCGAGGGAAGGGCAGAATTCCAAAAGGCAGATGGCGTGAATGGCATTTCAGGAGGAGGGAACAATTTATCAAAGGCCTGGAGACTCAGAAGCACACTTTTAGGGGATGACAACAGCCTGTGTGGCTAAAACATAGGACAAGTGGGAGATGGGGAGGACGGATAATCAGAGAAAAGGCTGGATTGCCCTTTTTTAAAAAAAAGAAATTGTAATTTGAGTTTTCTAGAAAATCAACCTGTTAATCAGTCATTAGGTAGCCAGACACTGGGGTGATGGAGAAGTCCTGAAGGAAATCGTGAACTCTTTGGGAAAATAATCTTCAATGCAGGAAACTGTTGACATTAATCTCATTACAGAATGCAGGGCTCTGAATCACTGGGTGGTCCCAGGAAGAGAAAGGGAAAGTGAGTTCAAACTGAAGAGCCGGACTCTAATCCTCCAGTTGGTGTTTCCCAGGCAAGCTGGGTAAACAATGTGGGGAAAATGACTTCCATATTCTCGTTCACAACAGTCCAGACTGAAGCGGTAACTGAGCCTGAAAGTATGGGAAGGAACGATGGTGCTTCCAGTCACCCTCCAAAGCACACATGTACACAGCATAGAACTCACAGTCCCCAGAACGGAACTCACTGTCCTTAGAGACTCACCACAAGAAAAGCAAAGCCAATTATTTGCAGAAAAATTGATTGTGACCAGGACCCAAGCGATAAAAGTCCCACTGTGAGAAGCATCTTTACAGGTGTGGGTTTCACCGGGGTTTCCTTCAGCCCAACCCAGCAAAAGCCACTGAAGTTCCTTTCCACGTTCTGAAGACTCTTACTATGCAGGACGATGAGAGCTTGCTTTTCAAAGAGATGTGTGGGAGACAAGAATATGGAAAAAGTGAATCTGACATTTCCATCTTTTTTTCTAACTTTTGGCATGACTGCTTCCAAATTTTACACTTTATTTATAAATGTTTCTCCTAGTGCTCGGAAAACTGCGATCAAAATTACTGTGAGATTTTCAGAGTTGAGGGTGCAGCACCTGCCCTTCACAACTCTTTCTCTTTCCACAGTAGGCGCCATATGCAGGCGGGGCCACAGTCATAAAGGAGAACGTCTCCTCAGTCCCCCAGCAGCACCAGCCAACAATGGTGGCTTTCCTTCAGTCACAAAATGTACCTATTCATTAGATGTTGACTGTCAAAATCTCCCAGGGACCCCAAAGGATGGCACCTCCCTCTGGGCTTTCCCACCATCAGTTGTGTCAATAAGAAGAGCCAAAACATATTTCTGTTTCAAAAAATGGAGGGGCCCTAATTCTGTTGCCGTATTTGCTACTAACTTTTCATCCTAGATAGTTCCCTGGGTGCTTAACTAGGCATGGTAGGTCCCAGAAGAAAAAGAAAAGTCCGTCGATGTAACCATTTCTGCAGGTCATCAAACCATTCATGTTATGTATTTTTAAAAGATGCTGAGGCTGGGCACAGTGGCTCACATCTGTAATCCCAGCACTTTGGGAGGCCAAGATGGGTGGATCACCTGAGGTCAGGATTTCCAGACCAGCCTGGCCAACATGGCGAAACCCCATCTCTACTAAAAATACAAAAATTAGCCAGGTATGGTGGCGCGTGCCTGTAATTCCAACTACTCAGGAGGTTGAGACAGGAGAATCACTTGAACCCAGGAGGCAGAGGTTGCAGTGAGCCGAGATCACGCCATTGCACTCCAGCCTGGGTGACAAGAGCGAAACTCCATCTCAAAAAAAAAAAAAAAGAAAGAACAGTAAGTACATTAAGTTTCTTACAAAAATTTGAAAAGTCCGTTTGTCGGGAAAAAAAAAAGTTTAGAAAATACATACTAGCAATGAATATACATCACATATATATTCTATGATATATAGAACATTATAGTAATATTCTATTTTGGCTATTTTATAAGGAAATGTATATATTCAGAAATTAGTTATTTAGTACCTACTATATGCCTAGCACTAGGCTGGGCACAGCGTAAATGCCCTTTTTCAATTAAAAAAATCAGTGAGTTCACTTTGGAGGTTTATAAAGGCAGGAGAGGGATGCTGAAAGAGTGGTGGCCTCTACAGCTGCCCTGGGAACACTGGGTGAACTCTGGCACTGTGGTGGCTTTCAGAGAGGGAGCCCCCAGCTGGAAGCCTGAAAACCAGGATCTGTCCCTAGGTCCCCACCGAGCCGCTAAGTTACAGAGCAAATTTCGACCTCTCTGTGCTTCGGTTTCCCAAAGTCTGCCCCATAATCACCTCCTTTCAGTAAAATGACAAAAGAACTGACAATGCGGAAAAGTCTTAAAATTAAAGATGCTGATGATAAATGAAGCCAAGTTATTTTAAAACTTTTTATTGAAAAATTACATAAATAGGGAAGTGTGCACATAAGCCTAGCACCACCCAGATCAAGAATGGACCATCACCAAGCCCCCCGCTGGCCCCTGGAAGTCATTACCATCCCCTCTGGGAAACTGCTACTCTTGCTTCCAACAGCACAGACGACTTTTGCTAATTTTGTGCTTTGCATTAATGGGAGCCGGCAGGATATACACTTTCACGTCTGGCTTCTTTTGCTCAGCGTCATATTATGAGATCCAACCATATTGTTGGCTATAGTCATAGGCTGTTCATTATCAGTGCTATACAACATTCATTCCCTATGTGAATGGATCACAATTTATGCATCCATTCTCGTGTCGAGGCATTTGAGTGGTTTCATATATAGCCCTTGATCTACAGAAAAGATCAGAAATTCTCTTATGCAGAAGAGTGATCCACAAATGAAATTCACCATCTCTTTCCTACTTTAAGTTGGTCTGATCAAAGGAATTTTTTTGTTTGTTTTCCTTCCGTGTCAGAACGACAGCTGCTCTGACTGTAAATTAAGTATCAATACTTTTGACCAGGAGTTACAGAAAGGAGGAGGGGGTTACTATATTGACAACTGACTCGAGGGAGTTTTCTTTCTACTTCCAAAGGAAACTAACCTGGCTTTGGACGGTGATTGTTCCTCAAGGAAGGGACTGTCTTGGGTTTCTTTCTGGTTCTGTAACAGTGTCCCACATCCAGGGGTGCTAATCAACGTGTGGTGCTGGTGGACAGAGCAGATGGCACGTGGGAGGGGAAAGAGCACCCAAACAGGATGCAAAAAGAGGCACTTGAAATTACCACTTTAGAAAATAAAGTGATGTTTATGCACAGAATAACACAATTTCTTGTTCACACATCCCACCTATGACATTAATCAGAGCCTTCACCTATGGGCTGAATGTCATGTTTTCCACTCCTAGTAGTTTACAGATTTTTTACTTTGAAGTGGAAGACACAAAAAAAAAAAAAAAAAAAAAAAAAAAAAAAGACATAGCTGCCCTAAAAGGAATGAGGAAGCGAGAGCTCTCCAGTGTCTGGCTGGCTCCGTCCGTGTGACAGCCCATGATGTTCTTTCCGGTCTCTGTAATATTCTGAATTTCCACCTGCCCGCCCCTTCGCTTATAATGCAGAGCATGTGAAGGGAGACCGGCTCGGTCTCTCTCTCTCCCAGTGGACTAGAAGGAGCAGAGAGTTATGCTGTTTCTCCCATTCTTTACAGCTCACCGGATGTAAAAGAACTCTGGCTAGAGACCCTCCAAGGGTAAGTACACTATATATTAACATGCCTAGAAATTACAAGCTGCCTCGCAAGTCACAGGTCACTCAGATCACAGGCAACAGAAAACAGCTATCCCGTGGAATATGCTCTCACTTTATAAAGTCTCAGGACAAAGCTTTGCTTCAACGTGAAGGCTGCACCTTTTTGGTGTAGGAGTTCTGTAAATGTTATCTTTGTTTCATGTTTACTATTTTAGCATCCTAGGGATATGTTTTTTTTTTTTTCCTTTTTGGATTAGATGAGAAAATCCATGCAAAGCACCTACTACGACAGCTGGCATATAGTCAGCACTCCACCAAAAAAGTTAATGTTCATGTTAATTTAAAATGTTAACGTAATTGATATCCAGATTATCTCTTGATGGAACGGAATAAATTGGTAACAACGTTTAGAGTGGTAAAGATAGTTGACTTAAATAATTTAGAAATAATTGTGTTCAGATGCTGCTCTTAACAACATACAACATCTGGTAACAGAACTGATTTTAAATGAAAACTTGTCTATGTAATAGTTTTTTCCAAAGTAAAGGCAAGTGAAAAAATAGCAAAAGAGAAAAATAAATAAATAGTTTCAAACTCTGTGCTTTGGCAAAGTGGCGCTGAAAGTGGCCTACTGTGTGAGTCCCTCCTAACTCCTTTCCATGTGATTCGTTGTAGACAGAGGCACAGCCACACGGGAGTGAAATCCACCCCTGGACAGTCAGCCGCAATACTGATGAAGCTGAGAAGCAGCCACAATGCTGTGAGTGCCCCTCTCACATTCATTCATTCACGTTTCCTACAGGCAAGGGCCAAAAGATATTTACCTAATTTTATTTTTTCTCTTTTAGTCAAAAACACTAAACGCCAATAATATGGAGACACTAATCGAATGTCAATCAGAGGTAAGAAAGCAATTTTTAAGACTTTTTATCTGTACTGTGAGAAGGTGGAAAACTTTGTTTTAATTGAATATTATTTGGGTTGAATAGTAATTATAAGAGTAGTAAACTAACATCACACATGTAGTAAATTAAGCACATTAATTAGGATCTTATATGATGACAATCAAGACCTTAATATTGCTTCTAGAAGCTAGAAAAAACATCAATGCACTCTACTGACTTCATTTTTAATATGAATAAAATGCTGTATGTGTGTTTTGTGGGGAAAGACTCGATAGGTTTCTTCAGTCACTATATTTAACTGAAATAAAAATGTTTTTAGGGTGATATCAAGGAACATCCCCTGTTGGCATCATGTGAGAGTGAAGACAGTATTTGCCAGCTCATTGGTGAGTTTTAAAAACATACCGATCTTTTATGTAAGTGCTAACAACCAGTGCTCTTGGTTTGCAAAACCACAGCGCTTTTACTCTACTAGGAATTTTTTTGTATAAGTTGTTCTGTTAAAGACCGCAGAACATTAACCCTTAAATGGCAGGTATGCTCCAACTCACTAGAGCAGGGAGTGCTGGGAAAGGAAAGAGCCTCTCCATAGAGAATCCCCAGTTCTGCCAAGCGTTTTTAATGCGGTTCAATCTCCTGGCCATGTATGTTTCGACAATTAGCATGCACACATTTGAAAAACACACAGTGTCTTTTCCATTTTCTTCCTTCTCTTATGGAGAATGCATCCAAGAGCCTATGAAGCAACTGTTGCTGATCTCAAATCCCAAAGGACCCACCATTCACTCTCAACTTTTTTCATAATGCATTTCATTATAGCGTAACCCTGACCCAGTTCTCCTGAACCATAAAGACAGGCCACTTCTTTCTCATCATGCTTCCACTTGCCAATCTGAAATGTATAGAAACAGATGCCAATGCATTTAGAAAATATAGCCTTTATAATTAGTAAGAAAGGAGAAGGAAGGAAGGAAGGAAAAGAAAAGAAAGAAGGAAATGTTTGAGATTGCAATATCCATTGCACACACATCTTGTGGATTTCAGAAGGACAGAATATCTTGATAACGTTTTGCTGATAATTCCCAGTTGCCAGATCTAGGTTCAAGGCTTCCCGCAGCGATTCGTATTTGCCTCTGTCCTAAAGCAGCAACCTGGAAAACCCAAGGTGACCAGTCACCTGGAAGGAAAAATGGTGTTAGCTCCCTCTAGTGGCTGTTTAGTGCCTGCGTGGCTGCAAAGGGTTGGAGCCAGCCCTGCTATGTGCCTTCGAAAAGATATTCAGCAAGTCACTTCCTCACCTTTTAAGTTTCGTTTTCTTCGCCAGTTAAAGGAGGAAATCAAAATAATCTATTTCATATCAGAAATTTCCTCTATAGTTATTCAGGCCAGTAGGTTAAGATGGTTGTTTATGATCAGCACAGTTAGGTTTTGCTAATTTTCTGTAGCAAACAGCTGGAAAGAGTGAAAACAGGAAAGGTGGAGGCCTTGAGGAACTCTGGTGTTGCTGTTTAGGGAACTGGTTGCCCTGGTAACAGTGTGGTTGTTTATCGGTTGGTTTTTCTAGATTAAGATTCACGCCCTTTGCTTTCTCAAGTTTTCAAAATTATTTTTCTCACATCGCATACTATTGACCACATTATGCGGCCAACGATACCCATTTTCTTACCTGGATCTTTGCTTCTTAACACTGTAGTCTAATTTTTCTCGTTGCCTTGTTTTCTTGGCTGTAGAAGTTAAGAAGAGAAAGAAGGTGCTGTCCTGGCCCTTTCTCATGAGAAGGCTCTCCCCTGCATCAGATTTTTCTGGGGCTTTGGAGACAGACTTGAAAGCATCGCTATTTGATCAGCCCTTGTCAATTATCTGCGGTGACAGTGACACACTCCCCAGACCCATCCAGGTAGGCGTGCATTCTCTCATAAACCTACTTCAGTTTTCAGTTGGACATGCAAAATACTCGGGAAATCTGAATGTCATTCTCCTATTAAGTTTGTAGGGACTGATCTTCCATATTTTCCACTCTTCAACATGGCACTCCCACATACGCGTGCAGTCAGAAGAATATCTGACTGCTTCCATTCCAGAAATTGAAATTAGTTGTATTTGCCAATGAGCTCAGAGCTATGGTCCCGCCATTCCTCTGACTTCACAGAGTGGAGAATGCTGAAGATTTGTAGCTTCTGAAAAGTCAAAAGGGGGAAACAGAATATAGACTTTGTGATCTGAAATCCAATGTTCATATGGAAGTATTTGAAAGGAGAGAGCTCCAAAGTGATTTTAGAAAGTGCAAAATTAGAGCTTTCACAATTTGCCTCCTCTTAGAAAAATAGCAGGGTTGAGGAAGGCCATTGACAGCAACTGGACTGAAAGCAAAATCTGACATCAATATTCCTGTTAAGACTATCTCAGTATACTAAAGAAGAAGGGTAACCCTTTCCTGTTCCTATTGCTGTTTCCTTTAGGACATTCTCACTATTCTATGCCTTAAAGGCCCTTCAACGGAAGGGATATTCAGGAGAGCAGCCAACGAGAAAGCCCGTAAGGAGCTGAAGGAGGAGCTCAACTCTGGGGATGCGGTGGATCTGGAGAGGCTCCCCGTGCACCTCCTCGCTGTGGTCTTTAAGGTGAGTTCAACACACTTGCGCCAAATAACCTGCCAAGGGGCCCTGACACACTCATTCTCAGGATGCAAGAAATAGGCTCTTCTCCCCACACAGCAAGGTACACTGATCTTGGAGTTTAATTTTTTTCATTAAGCCCTTTATTTATTTATTTAGTAAGCACCTCTGTTTCTGTGACCTCAGATTCCAACAGAAAGTGATGCATTCTGCTCTCCCAAAACTTTGCCAAGTACGGGCAATTTGATTGTTCCGTGGCAGAATCCATACGTCAAAATCCAGTGGCCCCTCAGAACACACCCACCTGGGGATGGTGCCTCTGACTCTGCCTGATGTTAGAAAGTTGCAGAGAGGCCAAGGGTGTTGGAGAGAGGGTTCCCTGGATTCATCAAATGCAGGAATGAAGGGCCACAATCTATGATGGGCTAAGCATAGAGCACCCTGCGATGGAACGAAAACCGGGTGAAAACAAGGACATGGGACATCATACAGTACCAATAGGCCAACAGCCCACTCTCATCCCCCAGGACTTCCTCAGAAGTATCCCCCGGAAGCTACTTTCAAGCGACCTCTTTGAGGAGTGGATGGGTGCTCTGGAGATGCAGGACGAGGAGGACAGAATCGAGGCCCTGAAACAGTAAGTCATCAAAGTCATCGGTCATTGCCAGGCCACATCACCTCCGTCTTTTGATTCTTTACACAGCTTTCTAAATGCTTCATGATCCCTGTTCCATGAGAATTGTGATGTTTAGGGAATCCGAGTGGAATTGCTCGTCCACTCCCAGAACAAAAACCAGAGGGTGCCCTGGACTTTTGAATTTTAATTTTAGCCAAATGAAATATTTCTTCAAAAAGTAGAAAGCGAACTTCAATCCTCACAAATCCCAAGAGGTAGGGAAGTCTGAAAATGTAAGATGTTCAAAAAGGTATGAGATAAAATCAGACCTGAGAACTTTAACACAGGCTCACCAGCAAAGTGTAGAAATTCGGGATTATCTTTAAGCTACACTGACTGGTGTCATGCAAGGCAACAGTTCTCCCATAAAACATCCCTCAGGATGCAGCCAGACAGTGTGGTGGGGGGCAGTTGTTTTGTTCATAAAACTTCACAGCATATTTCATCTTCTTATAATTAACCCAAATGAAAACTATATAATAACACATTCCAGTGAGAGTAAAAATAATAACATATGCAATGGAAAGTGTGATCTGTTAGTGACTAGAGAATTCTAAAACCCAAGCTTTGAAATGTCAGCATGGTTGTCACATCCTATGAAAGTTTATCTAAATGTTATAATTGTCCCACATGGCTAAATACTTTCAATGACATATGTATAGAATTGAAGACATTAAAATGTCTGTCCCAAAATGAAAATTCTAAGATTATCACAATGAGTTTCTACCTAGACATAAGGCATTTTTATAACAATTCCTTCTTCTGAGAAATGAAAATAATCACCATTTCGTTTTTGAAAAAGTGAGACTTTAAGAAGTCTAATTTCTTATCATTAGAAACAATGTTGCGATTTAAGTGCCGCCTTATATGAACATGCCCTTAGAAACTGATTTAGTCTTCATAAAGCTTTCTCAGAATGTTGTAAAAATGTGTCATCTTCGTTTGGTAATTATAGTTTTGTTTCCGTCTTTGTTTTAAGGCAAGAAAACCAGTCTAGTCGTGTTAGAAACAGAAAGAAATTCTACATGACTAAATGATTACTCAACAAAACTATTTTCTAAACATAAAGGCAAACTATGGTGTTTAATGCAGATTGGCTTCATAATTTAAGCTCTGTATAAATAATAAAGGGCTGTGTTATTGGTGTCCCAATTACAAAGGCCAGTTTCTTAGCTCCTCAAGACCTTGTGGTTAACCAGTCTCACTCTGTGTCAGTTGCCACTGGAAGTGTCTGAATGAGCATTTCACAATATTACTTGTGAAAATGCACCTTCCTCATTTTAAAGGAAGTCTGGTTTCGGCAGAAACTCTCAGCTTGCTACACTGAAGACCATTAGCCTTTTTGAAAACTAACATCCCTTCACTTTATTCCAGGGTTGCAGATAAGCTCCCCCGGCCCAACCTCCTGCTACTCAAGCACTTGGTCTATGTGCTGCACCTCATCAGCAAGAACTCTGAGGTGAACAGGATGGACTCCAGCAATCTGGCCATCTGCATTGGACCCAACATGCTCACCCTGGAGAATGACCAGAGCCTGTCATTTGAAGCCCAGAAGGACCTGAACAACAAGGTTTGTTCTGCTTACTGATGAGAAATCCCCAACTTATGATCTCACCATCTGTTTGCCAAGTCCAGGCAATAAAATGCTTCAGAATGTCTCCAACTGACTCAGAATCACAGTGAAAATATAAAATGCAAAATGCTTTTGTCATAGTTCCACTCTCTCAGATACATGTATCTAATGAAACTGAATAAATCCGTGTCTTCTGTCATCTGTGAGACAGATGAGTGCTGCGAGTATTTACATCACTCTCTCCCGATATAAAAAAGCCCTTTTGTTTTTGTGTTTTGTACACCACAGTCTATCAGTCTATCAATCTGGGACACTACTTACTTAAATGAAAATTTTATTAATACTTTAAATTTTTTTAAGTTCTTAAATTTAAAATGCATGTCTCAAAACACCAAGGAGTATCTAACTTTAATGTATGTGATTGTTGGCATGGTGGCTCACGTCTGAAATCTCAGCACTTTGGGAGGCCGAGGCAGGCGAATTGCCTGAGCTCAGGAGTTTGAGACCAGCCTGGGCAACATGACAAAACCCCGTCTCCACTAAAAATAGAAAAAATTAGCCAGGCGTGGTGGCGGGCGCCCGTAGTCCCAGCTGCTCGGAAGGCTGAGGCGGGAGAATCGCTTGAGCCCGGGAGGCAGAGGTTGCAGTGAGCTGAGATCAGGCTACTGCACTCCAGCCTGGTGACAGAGTGAAAGCCTGTCTCAAAAAAAAAAAAAAGTATCTGATTGTTACCAAATTTCTGTATGCTCTTTTCAGACACATAAAGATCTCAGATTCTCATTTTGGCACCTGACTCCAGTGTCCCCATTCTTCCTCACCTCCAAAAAAAAAAAAAAAAAAAAAAAGTCTTCAAGCTGACAAATTGCTTACTTTTCCTCACAGGTGAAGACACTGGTGGAATTCCTCATTGATAACTGCTTTGAAATATTTGGGGAGAACATTCCAGTGCATTCCAGTATCACTTCTGATGACTCCCTGGAGCACACTGACAGTTCAGGTATGGAATGTGCTATCATTTGATTACGATTGTAGGGAAAAGTTCATGCCAGTCTGCCAGTCATGTAAAGCATCTCTGATATTTGAGGCAGAAGTTACCTTCACAAATCACCGAGTCAGACTAGACTCCAGTCCATTAGGAAGTCATTAAACATGAAAACCCTGCTCCGGGCTTTTCCTGCAGCGCCTCCTCAGACCACAGATAGTCTTTCCCCCTTCCCAGTGTACATCGCAAATCACTGCTGATTTCACTAAGCTACCTTTAGCTCTGGAGTTGGAGTGAGAAACTTTTGTTTCCACTTCATGGGATATGACTCCATCACAATGAAAATGGGTCCAGTAAAAGGAGCAGTTTTAAAAATTAAGGTCAATACATTTTCAGTGAAATGCTGTTCTCTCTTTTCTTATTCTCTCCTCTCTTTCTCTCCTTCCTCCCTCCTTTACTCATTTCCTTTCCCTATTTTTCTTCTGATCTCAAAATAAATTCAGAAAGAAATAAACTTTTCATGTGGTACATTTCTTGTCATATCAAGCCCCTAAGTAGTTCTGCTAATAAATCACCTAGTGCCCTGATTGGTATGAGCAGGGCGAACTGTAGCAAAGTTCATTTCTAAAAGAACCTAAATGGCCGTGTGTGGTGGCTCACGCCTATAATCCCAGCACTTTGGGAGGCCAAGGCAGGCAGATTACCTGAGATCAGGAGTTCAAAAACAGCCTAGCCAACATGGTGAAACCCCGTCTCTACTAAAAATAGAAAAAATAGCCAGGCATGGTGGCGGGCACCTGTAATCCCAGCTACTGAGGCTGAGGAAGGAGAATCACTTGAACCCGGGAGGTAGAGGTTGCAGTGAGCCGAGATCACATCACTGCACTCCAGCCTGGGCAACAAACCGAGACTCCATCTCAAAAAATGAAAATAAAAAATACAAATAAAAATAAATAAATAAATAAACCCAAACAAATGTTCAACTGCTGCTTGACTTCCCCCAGATGTGTCGACCCTGCAGAATGACTCAGCCTACGACAGCAACGACCCTGATGTGGAATCCAACAGCAGCAGTGGCATCAGCTCTCCCAGCAGGCAGCCCCAGGTGCCCATGGCCACAGCTGCTGGCTTGGATAGCGCGGGCCCACAGGATGCCCGAGAGGTCAGCCCAGAGCCCATTGTGAGCACCGTGGCCAGGCTGAAAAGCTCCCTCGCACAGCCCGATAGGAGATACTCAGAGCCCAGCATGCCATCCTCCCAGGAGTGCCTCGAGAGCCGGGTGACAAACCAAACACTAACAAAGAGTGAAGGGGACTTCCCCGTGCCCCGGGTAGGCTCTCGTTTGGAAAGTGAGGAGGCTGAAGACCCATTTCCAGAGGAGGTCTTCCCTGCAGTGCAAGGCAAAACCAAGAGGCCGGTGGACCTGAAGATCAAGAACTTGGCCCCGGGTTCGGTGCTCCCGCGGGCACTGGTTCTCAAAGCCTTCTCCAGCAGCTCGCTGGACGCGTCCTCTGACAGCTCGCCCGTGGCTTCTCCTTCCAGTCCCAAAAGAAATTTCTTCAGCAGACATCAGTCTTTCACCACAAAGACAGAGAAAGGCAAGCCCAGCCGAGAAATTAAAAAGCACTCCATGTCTTTCACCTTTGCCCCTCACAAAAAAGTGCTGACCAAAAACCTCAGCGCGGGCTCTGGGAAATCGCAAGACTTTACCAGGGACCACGTCCCGAGGGGTGTCAGAAAGGAAAGCCAGCTTGCCGGCCGAATCGTGCAGGAAAATGGGTGTGAAACCCACAACCAAACAGCCCGCGGCTTCTGCCTGAGACCCCACGCCCTCTCGGTGGATGATGTGTTCCAGGGAGCTGACTGGGAGAGGCCTGGAAGCCCACCCTCTTATGAAGAGGCCATGCAGGGCCCGGCAGCCAGACTAGTGGCCTCCGAGAGCCAGACCGTGGGGAGCATGACGGTGGGGAGCATGAGGGCGAGGATGCTGGAGGCGCACTGCCTCCTACCCCCTCTTCCACCTGCTCACCACGTAGAGGACTCAAGACACAGGGGCAGCAAAGAGCCACTCCCTGGCCACGGACTCTCTCCCCTGCCTGAGCGATGGAAACAGAGCAGAACTGTCCATGCTTCTGGGGACTCTCTGGGGCACGTGTCTGGCCCAGGGAGACCTGAGCTCCTCCCGCTGAGGACCGTCTCCGAGTCCGTGCAGAGGAATAAGCGGGACTGTCTCGTGCGACGATGTAGCCAGCCGGTCTTTGAGGCTGACCAATTCCAATATGCCAAAGAATCGTATATTTAGGAGGGAGGCCATACGCCATGCCATAGCTTGTGCTATCTGTAAATATGAGACTTGTAAAGAACTGCCTGTAGATTGTTTTTAAAAGGTCTTGAATAAGCTCCTTGAGAAAGTTGTGGAAAGCCCTCCTCAGTGAGGATAGCTACACCATGGCCATGGCGCATCAGATAGTCTCTGTGTACCTGGATTTGTGCAATATGTAAAAATGTATCAAATGTATTATAGATAAGGTGTTAGGTGCAAAGGATGTCTAATAATCCCTGCACACGTTTTGAACTTGCAGTGAAGTACACTGCTGTTCCTTGCTTCCTGGGGCACTTTTCTCTTGGTTAGTGTTTAAAAATTATCTTCGCTTTTTTAATGTGGCCTCAAATGTCATGCCAATTTTCACATCTTCCACAAACTCCATTTAGGGAGAAATGTTTAAATCTCTGGTATAAGTTTACTCCATACCAGAGTAAACTATATATTACTCTATATAAGCAGTCTTGCAATAACTAATCACCACCATAGAAGAAAGAAACAGACTGCAAGGAACAGAGTTGAGTGTCTGGAGTCATCAAAGGCATTAAAAACTCCAGTAAAAGCTGGGGCCGTAGCAAAAATCATGAAAAACACTTCAACGTGTCCTTTCAATCATCCAATTAAATGTGGGTAGATTAATGAAAATGTATTACATCAATATTAACTCATCTATAGCACTTTGAGTATCTTTGTAGTTCATGATATCCTATCCTATAATGTGGAGGTAAATGATTTTATATGCATTGGGGGTCATATATAAAACTTCAATGTAATTTCACTACAATAAATTGCCTTCCTTATTTGAAAGTAAAAATGTTCTTTTTTTATTGACATGTTAACTCCTTTCCCTCAATTAATAGAAATCCACTAAGAAAATCATTCACATATTGGTTCACTCAACAAGCATTTATTAAATATATATTCACTATTCTAGACTAATAGCAAGACCGGGGATCTTGTTTAGGAAGAAGCAGTCCCTGTTCTCCAGAATTTGCAAAACCATTAAAAAAGCACCTACTTTAAGCCATTTTTTTTCAGCAAGGAGTCATTCTGCCAGAAAAATGTAGTACACAAATACAGGATAATATAACAAATGTAAAATTTCTCATTTCTAGTGAATTAAACTTTCCAGTAATTTTACATCTCACCTCATTCTTATGATGCTCAGTTTGCTTAATTATTGGCAAACATAATGGTAAAATGTTTGTACTGTATTAGAGCTTTACTGTTCGATTATTAAGATATTTATCCAGTATCTTAGAGATGCTGGACTTCAATTTTCCTTATTTTATCTTTTTAAAATAAAATATCATGCATGCTTCTGATTTGTTATAGAAATATTTTGTGTTGAGTCTTTTCGGAGATGATTTATCAATAATGGGCAAAGTTAATAATGTTGTAAAATAGACTGCTCAAGGCAGCATACTCAGACCTAATATTAAAAATACTTTATTGATGGGCCAGGTGTGGTGGCTCACACCTGTAATCCCAGCACTTTGGGAGGCCGAGGTGGGCAGATCATTTGAGATTGGGAGTCTGAGACCAGCCTGGCCAACATGGTGAAACCCCATCTCTACTAAAAATACAAAACATAGCTAGGTGTGGTGATGGGTGCCTGTAGTCCCAGCTACTTGGGAGGCTGAGGCAGGAGAATCACTTGAATCTGGAAGGCAGAGGTTGCAGTGAGCTGAGATCGTGCCACTGTACTCTAGCCAGGGTGACAGAGTGAGACTCAGTCTCAAAAAATTAAAATAATAAATAAATAAAATAAATAATAAAACTTTATTAAGCCCCAATAATATATAAATTTCATGGGGCAGAGCTTACCTGACTGCTAACTTAAGAAAAGCAGTCCTTTTCCAGAGTTGGTCACTAATAGCAATAGTTACAATTTTAGCATCTACCACGTGCCAGGCACTGTGCTAAGTATTTCAGTACCGAAAAAAAAAATCCTCTGCCTCTAATAATAGCCACTTCTTATTGAGAATCAGAGGATTCCCATCAATAGACCACTAAGACTACAAACCAGGAAGTTACAAATGTATTCCCACTTTACCATTCACCTGATCTCCGTGTGACCCTACTCAGGTCACGAAAACCCGACTCAGGTCACGAAAACCCTACCCAAATTTCCTTATTTTAAAAAAGTGGAATGAAACTGGAAGTCCTCTACACAAATGAATAGCACATTTTGCTGACGAACGTTTAGGAGCTCCCTGCCCAAGCAAATGTCATTGTTAGTCTTTGAACAGTGCAGACAGCAACAGTTGACTATTTCAAATATTGCACAGTGTGGTAGCCCCACTCCTATCTATGGAGTCCATCTGCCTTTCAAACAGGTTTTCCCAACCTGGCTCCCAAGTATATTAGTTTTTGAGAGCTGCTGTAAAAAGTACCATAGATCAGGCGGCTCAGACCACAGAAATGTATGTTTCACAGTTCTGAAATCCGGAGGTCTAAGGTCAAGGTTTCAGCAGGGTTGGTTCCTTCTGGGGCTGTGAGGGAGAATAGGTTCCAGGGCTCTCTCCTTAGCACAGATGGCCTCCTCCCTGTGTCTCTTCACATTATCTTCCCTCTACGTGAGTCTGTCTCCAAATTTCCCCTTCTTCTAAGGACACCAGTTATACTGGATTAGGACACAACCTAATGACCTCATTTTACCTCTGTAAAGACCCTCTCTCCAAATATAGTCACATTCTGAGATGTTGGGGATTAGGACTTCAACATATGAATTTGGATAGGGCAAGACACAATTCAACCCATAACACCAAGTTTTTCAAAATACTACTTAATGATACCTTGAATATGCCAATAATTTGAATATTTCACCATAACCAGAGAGCTAGGGCTTCTAGTGAGATTTAGATGACAATAAAATGATGCTTTAGTCAAGGATCCAGGAACACCAGAGTTCTGTCCTCTATTGACTTCCTAAGGGCCCACACTAATGACAAATGGGACAATCACAGATGTACCTGATGCAAAGTGTATAGTAAAACCGGGTTGGAAGCCTAATTAGGAGCTCAAACTTAAATTCAGGTCTGATTCCCTGGGAGATGCTCTCTCCTCCGGTAAAGAGGGGGAGAGGTGGATGACCCATGATACACGGATTATCTGTGCTGACACACTGTGCACCATGCCCCCAACCCACACACCAGCACTACTGAGGACTGAAAGAAATTAAAACTTGTTTCAGAAATGTTGACTTGTGTTAGGTGCTTTTGCAGGAGCTTAGCAAAACTAAGATTGCACCAGAACTTGAACGCAACAAATACAACACCTGTGTTACACTGGGGTCCCTAGGAAGTTGAAGTCGCAGCTATGGTTTTTAGCGCTAACAAAACAAATGACAGTTAATGGCCATAGCACATCCTATGGCCATAGATAGAATGTGCAAAGAGCTACAAACACTGTTTATCCTTAGGTTTATCCTAAATTAAAAGTATACATTGATAGATAAATTCTTCTGATCATGATCTCACTGGAAAAATCGCCAATACATGCTTCTCTCTTGAAAGGTCAGACAGAAACTCACATCGGATGCGATCTTACATGTTTCCAGTTTCTTTTTTAATTAAATTATGTAATCTTAACTCTTCCTCTGCAAAAAGAGAATTACTGAGGAATCAGAGGTATAAACGTTTTGCTAGAATTGGAAGTGAATCACTTTTTAGCAATATTTTAAATGTGGACTGAACTTCTGCATTATGTTCACTCCAGAGTAAAAATTAAATGTAAATGAGGAAAAACAAATGGGATGAAGTTCTTCCTCCTACTACAGGCTACAAAGAGGGGGGCATTGTGAAACAAGCAAACTTGCAGAATGCAAAATCTGGCCAGAAATAGGAAATGCAGAATGTTAACATCTCCGTGGAAAAAGAAAGACAACGTGTTGACACAGAATGAATATACGACCCAAATTCACAGAACCTGAGTCTGTGAATACCCCGAAATCTGCTCCCATGCACAGGGCACTAAACCTGTCTGAGCTCCGGTTTCTCCATCTATCAGATGAGGGTAATGATAACTTGCATCAGTTACGGAACGCATGTAACAGAAAACCCAGACAACAGACGCTTAACCAAGAAGGAGGTTTGTGCGCTCTATGAAAAGAACAGACTGGCAGCCCAGGGCTGGGATGAAGGCTCATGGCCTCCTCCGGCCCCGGGTTCCTTCATACTCAGAGCCAGTTGCATGGGGCTATGACCTGTGGACCCAATGCTAGGGTAATTCTCTGCTATTGGCATTTTTAGAGTATTAATAATTGAGAACAGGAGCCTTGCATTTCCACTTTGCACTGGGCCCTGCAAATTATGTAGCCAGTCTTGTGCACAACTTCAACTTTCTAGTCTACCATCCTTTCTGGGAACATGATCCTCTTCCCCCAACCTTTCCCTCCAGATCCCAAGCAGGAACTTTCTGCTCAATAACCTCTACCTCCATCCCAGAGGCCAGAACTTAGTACGTGGCTTCTCTTTTTTTTTTTTTTTTTTTTTTTTTTTTTTGAGACGGAGTCTCACTCTGTTGCCCAAGCTGGAGTGCAGTGGCACGATCTCGGCTCACTGCAACCTCTGCCTCCTGGGTTCAAGCCATTCTCCTGCCTCAGCCTCCCAAGTAGTTGGAAGTACAGGCGCATGCCACCACACCTAGCTAATTTTTTGTATTTTAGTAGAGACGGGGTTTCACCGTGTTGCCCAGGCTGGTCACGAACTCCTGAGCTCAGGCAATCTGCCTGCCTCGGCCTCCCAAAGAGCTGGGATTACAGGCGTGAGCCACCGCACTCGGCCAGTACGTGGCTACTCTTACCAGCAGAGGAACCTAAGAATACAGTTTTTATAGCCAATTGCCTCTCCCAGCAAAATCAGTAAGAAATTAGGAGATGGATACTGCAAGGCCTTGACACAAAAGTCAAATAAAAGAGATCGTAGGTACAACGAAACAAATCCAAATTTAGTTGCTCAATGATTAAAAAGGCAGGATAAAGTAGACTATCTACTTAATATGAGACCATTGAAAATGTTCCATATGATTAGGAATAATAAAAAGATAAGGTAGATAACAGTCTCAAGAGTATTTCAATTATTTGTATGCTCACTGTGAGAATTTTACAATTATACAACAGTAGTTTTAAGCAAAATAAATTAGTAACAAATATTGGCCTCCTACAATATAAAAATATTGCATTTGTATAAGGAATTTACAATCTAGTAGAGAAATAAGACACCTTTGACAGCAAAGGTAAGTTCCAAGTGAGTGATAATAACACAAAATACATAGTAGAAATGAATGGCTGCTTCATGGTCTCATTACTTTAGGATATACTTCACATTTAAAGGAAACTTAAAGATTTCAAACAAGTGCAAGTACAACATTCAAAACAATTGTGGAAGGTTCCAGCTGGATATTCACTTACAGGATTTGGCAATATCTTTGAGAAGTAAATAGTTAGATGTTATTTTTCCATCTTTGCTGAAAAGGGCATTTCTTATCCAAAATTTGTTTTGAAAAACACAAAGCAGTAGATAAGGTAACTGCTGATATACGGGCTGTTCATCTTTCCAAACAACACGTATCTTGTTAGTTTCCTAACCAAGGATTTTCAATGTCTTCTTAACACTATTTTTATTGAGTCTAAAGTCCTCTGCCTACCATCTATCATTCAAGGCCCTTCTTAATTTAGGCCCATCCTAAGTAAGCAAATTCACTTATTTTCTTAACTCTCTAGTGGCTTTCTACCATAAATCATAATTATGACAACAGCTAATTATATATATTAACACCAAGAATCTGAGATATAGCTACAGTGGCGTTCAGATGAAAATTTACATCCTCATATGATTATATTAATAAACAAAAGTAAAAATGAATGAATTCAGCATACCACTTATGGAGCTAGAAAAGGAAATAATAAAAATAAAGTTGAAATTAATAATTTAGAAAACAGAAAAAGAATAAAACTGATAAATACAACCAAAGCTGGCTCTCTGAAAAAATAAATAAAACAAACTTCTGCTTAATCTAAGCAAGGAAAAGGGAGAAATTAAAAACATACAACATGAGAAATGCTAATGGGACAATAACTACAGAAAATTAGAAGAATCAAAAGACTACTTTGCAAATATATTTGAATATTCTATGCAAATATATTTGAAGTACTATATATTATAATACATAATATACATTATATTAATATATATTATATTATATATTGTATTAATATATTTGAATACGCTATGCAACTATATTTGAAATATGAATGAGATTATCATTTTTCTAGGAAGACATAATTTACCAACCTGATTACAAAAAACAGAAAAATCTTAAGCAGATTTATTTCATAGATGAAACAAAGAAACTAGCCAACCACTCTCCCTAATTCCCTAAGTCCAGTTGGTTTCACAGGATTTCTTCCAAATCTTTAAAAAACAGATCATTCCAGTGCTATTTAAACTACCTAGACTATGAAAAAGAAAAAAAAAACTTTTAAATTATCTTGATAAAGCAACTATAACTGCTACCAAAACCCAGTAACAATTTCACATACACAAAAAGGAAAATTACAGATCAGTCTTACAAATATTGATGTAAAAATTATAAAATATTATCTAATAGAATATATGATGACCAAGTGACATTTATTCCAAAATGCAAATATGACTTGATGTAGGAATTATTAATATGATATATCATATTAATAAGTTAGAGGGAAAGTAACATGATTAGATCCATAGATAGTAAGACAAGCCCTATCAAAATTTAATCTCCATTATGAGGTTTTTATTTATTATGTTTTTAAAAATAATACAGATAGGGTCCCACTATGTTGATCAGGCTGGTCTTGAACTCCGGGCCTCAAGCAATCCTCCCATCTCAGCCTCCCAAAGTGCTGAGATTGCAGGTGTGAGCCACTGCACCAGGCCTTTTGAGGTTTTTTAAAAATATATGTAATAAAATAGAAATGAATGAACACAATTTTTAAAAAAATATGTCTATTTCAGACCAAAAGGCAATATCAGACTTAATAAGGAAACACTAGAAACTCCCTTGAAGTCAGAAAAAAGTCTGATTGGCATTATTTCCCTTTATTATCTAACACACTCTGGAGGTACTATCTAAAGCAACCAGACAAGAGAAAGAAATCAGAGAAACAAAAATTGTAGGAGAGGAGGTAAGGCTATGACTATTTACAAATTATATAATTGGATATCTGGAAAATTCATGAGAATCAACTAATAACAAAAATTACTAGAAATAAAACACACTGAGCAAGCAAGGTATAAAATAAATACACAGAAATCAAAAGCCTCTGTACATACTAATAGCTAGAAAATATAGCAAAAGAAAAGGCCCCATGTACGTTCACAAAAAATAGATAGGAACAAAGTTAGCAAAACCAGTCTTTAATAAGATAGAAATCAATGAACACAATTTTTTTAAATATGTCTATCTCAGACCAAAAGACAATATCAGACTTGATAAGGAAACAAAATGTTCCTGCAGGACAAAGGAGTAGAGTTGAATAAATAGAACCACTTATTATATTTTTGGAGAGTAACATAAAAATCATAAAATATGTCAAGTTATCCTACGTTAATTTTTAAACTTAAGGTGATCTTGATTAAAAAAAGAAAGAAAGAAAGGAAAACAGGGAGGGTTTTTTTTATTTTTTTCTTGGTTGTTTTTGTTGCTCACTAGAACTAAAGAAAACTGAATCCACAAATCATATTTAAAAATCAATAAGCCCTAATAGGACAGAGGACACTAGAAAAGAGGAGCAATTATGGAAAACTAGAAACCAGCCCTTCTAGATTTTAAGCGACACTCAACACTTTTGGGAACTGGAGCTTGAATAGACCTACCAAACAGAACAGAGGCAAATGCATACAGGACTTTGGTATGTAAAGCTGGCATTTCAAATCAGTGGGGACTATAGACGATTCAATAAATGGTGTTGGTATAAATGAGTGGCCATTTGGGAAAAAAAAAAAAGAAACATTGGGACCGTATCAACTTATGCTAGGGGAAATTCTGGATACGTGGAAGGTTAAATGTGGGAAGTGAAAGAATCAAAGTTCTAAGAGAAATGAGGAAAAATTCATTTATAATATCAGAGTGGGAAAGCCTTGATAACATGACTTAAAATCCAGAAGACATGAAAGAAAATAATGACAAGTTAAAAACATGAAAATAAAAAACATCTGCATGAGTGAAACACCATAAACAAAGTCAAAAGACAAAGGACAAACTTGGGAAAATATTTGCATCTCATCTAACAGAAACAGAGCTAATTTGGTTTTATTTATTTTCATAGCATTGGGGTACAGGTGGGTTTTGGTTACATGGATGAATTGTACAGTGGTTAAATCTGGGATTTTAGTGGACCCATCGTCACCCAAGTAGTGTACATTGTACCCAACAGGTACTTTTTCATCCCTTACCTCCCTCCTAGCCTCCCCCATTCTGAGTCTCCAATGTCCACAGTACCACTCTGCATGCCTTTGTGAACCCATAGTTTAGCTCCCACTTATCAGTGAGAACATGCACTATTTGGCTTTCTGTTCCTGCGTTAACTCACTTAGGATAAAGGCCTCTAGCTCCATCCATGTTTTGGCAAAGGACACGATTTCATTCTTGGGGCTAACTTCTATAACATATAAAGTTCCTGTAAAAAGATAAGGGAAAGAACAAAACTCAATAAGAAATGTGCAAGGGATACGAACAGCCAATACACAGAAAAAGAAAAGCAAATGGAACTGGGCATGGTGGCTCATGCCTGTCATCCCAGCACTTTAGAAGGCTGAGGTGGGCAGACAGCTTGAGCCCAGAAGCTAAGAGACCAGCCTGAGCAACATAGTGAGACCCACTCTCTATTTTAAAATATGTTTAAAAAAAAAAAAAAGCAAATGGCTCTTTAACTTTTGAAAAGATACACAAGTTCACTCATTTTTTTAAAAAAACTAAACTACACGAAGACACTATTTCTCCCATGAGATAAGCAAAAATCTAAAAGTTTAATAATACACTATGCTGATGTGTACATCTGTTACGTGTAACAGGTGTACATCTAAATGTAGATATACACCTGTGTACATCTGTTCTTAAATGTACTACTAAATATTTTATTTTTGAACCTATTATAAATGAAATTGCTTTTCAATTCATTTTCCAGTGGTTTGCTGCTAAAATATAAGAATAGAATTGGCCAGGCACAGTGGCTCATGTCTGAAATCTCATCCTTTGTGAGGCCAAGGCGGGAGGATCACTTGAGGCCAGGAGTTCGAGACCAGCCTGGTCAACAGAGTGAGACCATCTTGACAAAAATAAAAAATAAGCCGGGTATGGTGGCACATGCCTGTAGTCCCAGAAACTTAGGAGGCTGAGGTGAGAGGATTGCTTGAGCCAAGGAATTTGAGGCTGCAGTGAGCTATAATTGTGCCACTGCACTCCAGCCTAGGTAAACAGAGCAAGACCCTGCCTGTAAAATTTAAAAAAGAAAACAGAATTGATTTTTGTATTTTTAATTTCATATACTTTGCCGTATTTACTTACTACTTGATGTGGTTTGGCTCTTGTGTCCCCACCCAAATCTCATGTTGGATTGTGACCCTGAGTGTTGGAAGTGGGGCCTGGAGGGAGGTGATTGGATCATGGGGGTGGTTTCTAATGGTTTAGCACCATCTCTCCACTGCTATCTCATGATGGAATTCTCATGAGATCTGCTTCTTTTAAAAGTGTGTAGCACCTCCCCTTTCATTCTTTCTTACCTGCCATCATATGAAGATGTGCTGGCTTCCCCTTCACCTTCTGCCATGATTGTAAGTTTTCTGAGGCCTCCCCAGCCATGCCTCCTGTACAGCCTGCAGAATTGTGAGTCAATTAAACCTCTTTTCTTCATAGATTACCCAGTCTCAGATAGTTCTTTATAGCAGTGTGAGAATGGACTAATATAGGAAATTGGTATCAGAGAAGTGGGGCATTGCTACAAAAGATACCTGAAAATGTGGAAGCAGCTTTGGATGGGCAGAGGTTGGAACAGTTTGGAAGGCTCAGAAGAAGACAAGAAGATAAGGGAAAGTTTGGAACTTCCTAGAGACTTGTTGAATGGCTTTGACCAAAATACTGATAGTGAGATATGGACAATGAAGTCCAGGCCAAGGAGGTCTTAGAGGGAGATGAGGAACTTATTGGGAACTGGAGTAAAGGTCATTCTTGCTATGCTTCAGCAAAGAGACTGGTGGCATTGTGCCCCTGCTCTAGGGATCTGTGAAACTTTGAACTTGAGAGAGATTATTTAGAGTATCTGGTGGAAGAAATTTCAAAGCAGCAAAGCATTCAAGAAGTGACCTGGCTGCTTCTAACAGCATATGCTCATATGCATTTCCGAAGAGGTGGTTTGATATTGGAACTTATATTTAAAAGGAAAGCAGAGTATAAAAGCTTGGAAAATTTTCAACCTGCCATGTAGTAGAAAAGAAAAACCTATTTTCTGGGAAGTAATTCAAGCCAGCTGCAGAAATTTACATAAGTAAAAAGGAGCCAAATATTAATAGCCAAGACAATGGGGAAAATCCCTCTAAGACATTTCAGAGACCTTCATAGCAGCCCTTCCTATTACAGGCCCAGAGGCCTAGGAGGGAGAAATGGTTTCGTGGGCCAGGTCCAGGGCCTTACTGCTCTGTGCAGCCTTGGGACATGGTGCCCTGCATCCCAGCTGCTCCCGTTTCAGCCATGGCTAAAAGGGGCCACAGTACAGCTCAGGTCATTGCTTCAGAGGGTGTAAGCCCCAAGTCTTGATGGCTTCCCTATGGTGTTGGGCCTGTGGGTATGCAAAGGGCAAGAGTTGAGACTTGGGAGCCTCTGCCTAGATTTCAGAGGATGTATGGAAACACCCGGATGTCCAGGCAGAAGTCTGCTGCAGGACTGGATCCCTCATGAAGAACCTCTACAAGGGCAGTGTGAAGGTGAAATGTGGGGTTGGAGCTCCCACCAAGTTCCCACTGGGGCACTGCCTAATGGAGCTGTGAGAAGAGAGCCACCATCTTCCAGACCCCAGGATGATAGATCCACTGACAGCATGCACTGTTCGCCTGAAAAAGCTGCAGGCACTCAATCCCAGCCCATGAAAGTAGCTTTGGGGGTTGTACCCTGCAAAGCCACAGAGGCAGAGCTGCCCAAGGCCTTGGGAGCCCACCCCTTGCATCAGTGTGCCTTGGATGTGAGACATGGAGTCAAAGGAGAGTATTTTGGAGCTTGGAGATTAAATGACTGCCTTCCTGGGTTTTGCTTGCAAGAGGCCTATAGCCCCTTTGTTTTGGCCAATTTCTCCCTTTTGGAATGGGAGCATTTACTCGATGCCTGTACCTGCACTGTATCTTGGAACTAACTAACTTGTTTCTTTATTTTACAGGCTCATAGGCAGAGGAGTAGTACTTGCCTTGTCTCAGATGAGACTTTGGACTGGGACTTTTGAGTTAATTCTGGAACGAGTTAAGAATTTGGAGGATTCTTGGGAAGGCATAATTGTTTTTTGAAACGTGAAAAGGACATGACATTTGGTAAAGGCCAGGTGCAAAATGATATGGTTTGGTTCTGTGTACTTACCCAAATCTCATGTTGAATTGTGATACTGAGTGTTGGAGGTGGGGCCTGGTGAAAGGTGAATCATAAGGGTGGTTTCTAGTGGTTTAGCACCATCCTTCTAGTGCTGTCTTGTGATGGAATTCTCATGAGACCTGCTTCTTTTAAAAGTGTGTAGCACCTCCGCCTTCGTTCTGTCTCTCACCTGCCACCATGTGAAGACGTGCTGGCATCCCTGTCACCTTCTGCCATGATTGTAAGTTTCCTGAGGCCTCCCCAGCCATGCCTCCTGTACAGCCTGTGGAACTGTGGGTCAATTAAGACTCTTTTCTTCAAAGATGACCCAGTTTCAGGTAGTTCTTTATAGCAGTGTGAGAATGGAATAATATACTACTTCTAATTATTTTTTAGATCCTTAGGATGTAGAAAACAATCATATGTAAACAATCGTATTGCCTGCAAATAAGGACGATTTTGCTTCCTTCTTTCCAATCTTTATCATTTTATCATTCTTTATTGCAGTGGCTAGAAGCTCCAATTCAATATTGAGTAGAAGTGGTAAAAAAAATGAGCACATTTGCCTTTTTTCTGAGTTTGGTAGAATATCATTTAATATTTCACCATTAAGTATAATGCTCACCGTAGGTTTTTCATAGATGCTTTTTATGAAGTTGAAGAAGTCCTTCATAGTCAGTTTGGTGAGAATTTTTCTTATAAATGGATATCAAATTTTGTCATATTTTTTATCTACATATGAAAATGATCAGATGGTTTTTCTCCTTTATTCTGTTAATATGGTGAGTTATATTGATTTTCTAATGTTAAACAAACCTTGAATTCCTGGGATAAAACTAATTGGTTATGCTGTATTATTTTATTATTTGCTTTATGTTTGTCTCCTCTGCTGTTAGTCCCTCTTGTTCTCCCTTTCCTATATTCTTTTGGATTAAGTGAATATTTTTATAATTTCATTTTAACTTACCTATTGGTCTTTTAGTCTTTTGCATGATTTCTTAGAAGCTCCTCTAGAGACTATAATATAATCCCTTAACTTCTCAGTCTACTGGCAATTTTACTGGTCCATTTACCCTCCCCGGCCACACCACCAACACTGCCACCATCTTTTATGCCATAGCTGCCATAAAATCTATCTACATGTGATATAAACCTTAAGTCAATATTATGTCCTTTATACAGTTGTGCATATGTGAAAGAAATTAAGAGGAAAATTGGTCTTTGATGTTTACTCCAATATTTATAATTTTTTATGCTTTTTATTCCTTTTCTCATATCATCTCCCTTCAGTCTGTACAACTTTCTTTAGCTTCTGGAAGTGCAGGTCTTCTGGTGATGAATTCTCTTAGTTTTCTGATATCTGAAGATGTCTTCATTTTGCTTTCATTCTTGAAGGGTATTTTTGCTAGACAGAGATTTCTAAGCTGACAGTTTTTTCTTTAAGCACTTCAACAATTTCATTCGACTGTCCCTGACTTCTATAATTTCTGCTGAGAAGTCCACAACCATTGAAATCATTATTCTCCTATATATAAAATGTGTCATTTTTATTTACGCTTTTAAGATTCCTCTTTGTTTTTTGTTTGTTTTCAGTAGTTTGACTATGATGTGTCTAGTTTGTTTTTCTTTGTATTTATCCCATTTGGGATTCACAAAGCTTATCCAATCAGAAAATGTAAACATCTTATTAAATTTAGGATGTTTTCAGCCACTATTTTTTCAAATATTTGCCATCCCATTCTTTTTCTCCTCTCTTCCTGATATTTTAACTATCCATAATATCAGTTTTTTTTATATTGTGCCACACATTCCTGAGGCTCTCTATGTTTCTCACTCCCTTCCCCCGCCCCCCTCCTCCTCTCCTCCTCCTTTAGATGGGACAATTTCTATTGCTCTATCTTCAAATTCACTGGTTCTTTCCTCTCTATCTCCATTATGCTATTAGAGCCCATCCAGCAATTTTTTTTTCATGTATTGTATTTGTCAGTTCTAAAATTTCCCCTTTTTGTATATTTTCTTTATATATTTTCCATTTCTTTCCTAAAAGTTCCTATCTTCTCATTTATTAGGAGCATTTTTTTCACTCTATTGAGCACAATAGCTGCTTTAAATTCCTTGACTAATAGTTTCAACATTTCGGTCATCTGAAATTGACCTCTTTTTATTAACTTCTTTGTTGCCAATACATCACATTTTCCTGGTCCTTCATATTTTGAGTAGTTTTGGACATGGTGGATGTTTCATAAGTCAAGACTCTAAATTCTGTTGTATTCATTCCAAGGCTGTTGATACTTTGTTTTAACAAGCAATTGACTTGGTTACACTGAAGGCTGTAAACTCCATGTCTCTCATGGTGAGTGGCCATTCAAATCTCAATTCAGTACTCCAAACCTTAGCTGCAAGTGGCTTTGAATCTGGTTTGTGTGCATGTGGTTCACGGGTCAGCTAGAGACTTGGGCAGAGTTCAGATACAGCATTTGGGTGCCCCCTTCTCTGGCTCTGTCCTCTCTGGGATTTCTCCCTCACTCTCGTGGCCATGATTGCCCCAGGCTCCAGCCCCTGGTTCCCTAGACCAGAAACATGGCAGTCTTTCTATGGGAGTTTTAGCCACCCCCAGACACTTTGTGACCAGGGCCCATCTTTTGGACAAGGCTGAAAAACAGGAAACTCACACTCTCCTCCAAGATTCAACTCCCCTCTGCCTGCATTTGCTCACTTCCCAGGTCTCTTAAGTAGTTACTTTTGGTAGTTTGTCCAGTTTATAGTTGCTATATTTGTGGCAGGGTTGGTCTGTTAGGAGTCTACTCCACCATACCACAGGGTGTGTGTCTCCTTCACCACTGTATCTGCACCATTGAGTTCAGCGTCCTCACCACAATGAGCTGGTGTCCATGGCTCCCAATAGGCTTATTTCAAGGATAAAATTGATCATATCTAAGAAAAGTACTTTAGCATGTTAAATGTACTGTCAAATGTAAGGAGGCATTTAGATATGTGTAGAAACTGGTCAGCTTCCAAAAATGCAAATACATCCCAAATAAATGTTAAGAACAATATACTAAAGTCTTAAGAAACCAGAAACATGTTGGCCAGGCGCGGTGGCTCACGCCTTTAATCCCAGCACTTTGGGAGGCCAAGGCAGGTGGATCACGAGGTCAGGAGATCGAGACTATCCTGGCTAACACGGTGAAACCCCGTCTCTACTAAAAATACAAAAAAATTAGCCAGGCGTGGTGGCGGGCGCCTATAGTCCCAGCTACTAGGGAGGCTGAGCCAGGAAAATGGCGTGAACCCAGGAGGTGGAGCTTGCAGTGAGCCGAGATCGCGCCACTGCACTCTAGCCTGGGTGACAAAGCGAGACTCTGTCTCGAAAAAAAAAAAAAAAAAGAAACCAGAAACATTTCAAGCGGGGGCAACATTTCAAGCGGGGGCACCTCACTGTTAGGTGATGGGGCAACCATCTGGTCATTTCATTCATGATCCCAGTTATTTTCATCTGTAGCAAAAAGTTACAGGATTTTCATTGTTACTAGAAATGAGAAAAAGTATATATATATATATATATATATATATATATATACACACACACACACACACACACACACACATATATATCTGTGATTTCTGGCAAATGTATAGGTGGTATTACACTTGAATTATATCCATATCGTTCCTAAGAATAATTTTATATGCCAAGAGTTAAGATGCCTAAATTCTTTAAAAAGAACAGCAAACATCCACAGGCCTCGGAGCACATTGAGATGCATACAATCTAAATGTATTCCTTTCAGGATTTTGATTGTAAAAAAATTCAACAGCTCCCTCAAAGATAGAGATTATTTATTCAACAAACATTATGGCAGATTCAAGTAGCAAAACAGTCTGTAAATTTGGGCATGTAGACCCAAAAAAGATCCTCTCTCAAACTGCTAACCTGGTGTTGCTAAATGAAACAGTTCTTGCCGAAGAATTTTCACAGGTGTTCATTTGCATCCATGAAATTCCTCTCGTTACATCAGTTTTTAAACAGGTTGTTTGCATCAAGTTTCAAGAGTAATTTGTGAACATTGCTGTCTGACTATCCATCCCCATAGCAGAGATAGTAACTTCTTAAAATTTCCAGTTATTCCTAGAGATTAAAGAGTTGGAAAATAAAAAAGTAAAATTTAAATTACAATCTACTGGTCTAAGCCTATATCTTCAAATGGCCAGGCTTATAAAATGTCTTCTTATTTAATATCCTTGTCTCAGCTGTCTTCCCCACGCAATTTTTTTTAAACAGTCTCAATCTGGCACCTACTGCAGCCTCAACCTCCTGGGCTCAGGTAATTCTCCAATCTCAGCCTGCTGAGTAGCTGGGACTACAGGAGTCCACTACCAGGCCCGGCTACTTTTATTGTATTTTTTATACAGACAGGGTTTCGCCATGTTGCCTAGGCTGGTCTTGAACTCCTGGGCCCAAAGTGCTAGGATTACAGGCATGCGCCACCTCCTCATGCAATTTGAGCAGTATATACAGTTGGAAGCCTCACATTCCAAACCCCACCTTCATCATGTTTCCCAAAATTTTCAAATCCCACCCTTTCACCTGGTCTTTCAGACCTTCCCCTAGAGCAGTAGTACCCAGTACCCGGTTCGTGGCCCAGGCATCAGGGACCCCTGCCCTAGGTTACATCTATTTGTTCTTGGAGTCACTGCCACAGCCACTGTCATTATTCCCTGACGTGGCCCCTCACGGGCTTGTGCTGATGCATGCAAGCCAGCCCTCCATCACTGACCCCACATGCTGTTACTCTGGAGCAGCTCCCACACACATGCAAAGCTGATGTACACCTGGGACTTCGTTCATTCCAGTTCCCTACCTACAATGTCTACACAGTCCACACACCCTGCCACCGGACCTTCGCAGCCATGCAGACACCTCAGCTCAAGAATTACCTCTGACACCTAAAGAACTCACAGACCCCACCTCCCTCCCTTTCTCTTTTGTACCCCACATTTTAATATCTACCATTTTTTCCTGTTTCTCTCCTCCCAGTAGACTATAACTTCCTTAAGGGTGAGAAATGGGTCTCCTTTCTCTTTGTATTCTCCAGAACTAAAAAAACTTCCTGGCACATGTTAAACATTTCACTACATGTTTGTTGAATTAATAAAAGAATAAAGAAATAAATGAACTTCTACTCTTTAATTCAACCAAGAAAATATAACAGTGGTCCCCTACATGTAATTTATCACTTACTCCTCAGCTTTATATAAAACTTTCTCCAAACTAGAATCACTCAACTTCTTTCCACCACTTCCTTCGAAATGCACCAACTTCAAATGCTCCATAATTTAACCCTTCCCCTTTGATCCTTCTTTTCTGCCATATTCCAGATTCCACACTCCTCAGGAGCAGGCTTAAGGCCTTATCTTTCTCATATTTTAAGTGTTTGCTTAGTTCCTTTTTGTGCCAGGTACTTACTATAACTAGATGGGAAAAGGTTTTTTGATTGTTTTCTTGTTTTTAATTTATCATGTAATTTTCACAACTTCACAAGATGAATATTAATACGCATGATTTAATAGATGAGAAGACTAAGTAACTTGCCCAAGGTCACACAGCTAATGAAAGATGGAGCTGACATTTTAACATAAGGCTACTGTATTCTGAAGACATGCTCTTTTCTTTTTCTCCATCCCAGCATAGGGGAAAGGGGACAAATATTCTAGGCTGGATACTTAGTTTATGTTCTTTCTGTAACAGATCTGTTATATTTTAAAACAGGAAATATTTTTTAAACCACAGAATAAGTTCAGCAAAATAAGTGAAGCTTATCTTTGATCAGAGATAAAGGCAAAGAAACCCCTGGCTTCAAATTAAAACCCCATATATGCAAATGTAATTTTATGACCCAAGACTATTTTTTCCTGAGTTTTTTAACTTTAAAACACCAAAGCACAGTGGCTACAGAAGGAAGGTACTTAAGGAGCTGCACCAAGGAATGAAATCGTATTATCACAGGCCTTAATACAACAGGCCAAATTCATTTCGAAAAAATGTATTCAAGTCTTAGACCCTGTGAAAAAACAACTCTTATTTTCAAGAATAGAAACAGCTAGGGGTTTTTTACATCTTCTTACAAGAAATTTCCATCCATTGGCTTTAAATTTTACTTTTCATTCAAAAGCACAGCATGTTTTTATATTGAAAACTTCCTAGGAAAATGAGAGCCATTTTCTCACACTCTGAATCATGGTTTTGCTCTGACTAGGTAAATAGCATGCACCCTCAAACTCTTGCTAGAGAGAGTCACTGAAACCTTTTAGGTTAAAAGGAAATGATTGGTAAATAGCTTTTCTCAATCTGAGTTCTTCTGTAGGAAATGGAAAAACAGAGAACCTACAATTCTAAATAGTAGCATCAGACTCAAATAACAACTTTGTGGGAAAACAAGGATCGATTTGAAAGCTGGGCTCCTTCAGGTCAGACTCAGATTTTGAGGGGCTCTGTGTTTTTATAATTTTGGAGGCTCTCTACAAGAAAAAGAAGGCAAACTTACAAATGCAAATTTAATCATAAACACAAATATGTATCTAGAACAAAAAAACATAAAGCATAAATTTAATAACGCTGACAAATACAGCAAACAAAATTTTTCACCAAAATATGAAATAACATTTTTACTAACTGCCTGGGACATTTCGGTAGTGCTCCCTTTCCTATCTTTTTTAGTTGCATGCTCTTTTAAAACACTTTTTTCCTAAAAAATAAAGATTTAAAATTATTTTCTCTAGTGAGAATAAAAGTTGTTTTTCCTTTAATTTGGCTAAAATTTGGAGTTCTTTCCAACATTAATAGTTTAGAATAATTTATTTCAGCTTCTCAACTCATTGATAATGTCATGTAAATTGTTAGAATTATTGACAAATTTGGAGAAATCTCTGCCAAGTGTTTTTCATATAGGAGCTATAAAATCTGGAAAAATACCTGCAGACTGCTGGTTCTATATATTTCAAATGTTCCTCTACTACCTACATACTGCCAATGTTAGGCTCTGCAAAAAGTGTTCTTCTCGTAGCACACGTCACAAGCCTGGTGAGTAGGCACAGTGGTCAGTAGGACTATCTTTGAAAGCCCCTCCCACCCCAGGATAGTTATGAATAACTTACCTACTTAAGGAAGTGATTGCAAAGCACATAAGTAAATCCCATTGCTATGGCCTGAATGTTTGGGTTCCCTCAAGATTCCTAGGTTGAAATCCTAACCCCTAAGGTGATGCTACTAAGGGGTGGTGCATTTGGGGGGGTGATGAGGTCATGAGGCTGGGGCCCTCATGAGTGGGATTAGTGCCCTATGGAAGAGGCCTGAGAAAGACCCCTCACCTCTTCCACCACATGAGGACATTAAGAGAGAAAGTGCCATTTGTAACCAGGAAAGGGGCCCTCATCAGACACCAAATCTGCTGGTGCTATGATCTTGGACTTCCCAGCCTCCAGAACTGTGAGAAATAAATTTCTGTTGTTATAAGCCATCCAGTTTATGGGATTTTGCTATAGCAGCTGAAATGGATTAAGACATTCACTGAAATCAAACTAAATATATCCATAAGTCAGCTTTCCCTTAGCCTAGTCCTAAAATCCCCATGACCACTCCAGGGCCATTCAACGAGGTAAGTCAGCATGAAAAGAGACATGATTGTGGTTGAAATATTTTTTGTGGCCAGGTATGGTGGCTCATGCCTGTAACCCTAGCACTTCAGGAGGCCAAAGTAGGAGGATTACTTGAGCCCAGAAGTTTGAGGCCAGCCTGGGCAACATAAGGGAGATGCTTTCTCTACAAAATAAATAAATAAATAAATTAGCCAGGCATGGTGGTATGCTCCTGTGGCCCCAGATACTCAGGAGGCTGAGGTGGGAGGATTGCATGAGCCCAGGGAGTTTAAAGCTGCAATTAACTATGATCACACCACCGCACTCCAGCCTGGGTGACAGAGCAAGACTCTGTCTCTGTCTCTCTCTCTGTCTCTCTCTCTCTCTCTCATATAGATGGATAGATAGATTATATATATATAGTACTCTATATATATATTATCTATATATAGGTGATATATAATCTATATATTATAGATATAATATATATATCCATATATAGATATTTTAAAATATATATATGTATATCTTAAAGTACTGACATCTTCCACCACCACTCGTAATCACAGCCACAGGCTGTAAACCACACTGTGGAGAATGGAGGCAAAGTGCAGCTCACCAGGCCCCAGCGCCAGATACTGGATTCCGGGATTCTGTGTGTGTCTGCATAGATGCATGCATTTGCCTCTCCCAACACTGAGGAAGACTCCCCCTGTTACACACTGGGAGCCGGACTCAGAGCTACTCCCCAGCGGAGTGGGACCCAGGGCAGGTGCTCTTTCTACTTCCCATGGTGGCTTTTCCAGCCTTCTTTTCCTCACCATAATAAGGGTGACACATACTCATTAGAGAAAACGTTTTCAGTAGATGGGATTTTTTTAATTACCTGTAGTCACATTACCTAGACACAACCATGGAAAGATTTTGGCATATTTTCATGTTTTTACGGAACAAAGAAATTGAAAACATTAAATTAAATCAAATCTATTTTTCTCATTATTAAAGAAATATATGTTCCCTGTCAAAAATATGAAAAGTATAAAAAACCTTAAAACCATCTGTATTTGTTGGCGAGGGCTGTCATAACAAAGTGCCACAGACTGCATGGTTTAACAACAGACATTTTTTGTCTCACAGTTCTGAAGGCCAGAAGTGCAAGATCAAGGTGTTGGCAGGGCTGGTTGGTTCCTTCTGAGGGCTGTGAGGGAAGGGTCTGTTCCACACCTCCCAGCTAGCTTCTGGTGTTTTACTGGCAATCTCTGGCATCCCTTGGTTGACAGAACATTACACTGACCTCTCCCTTCATCTTCACATGGTGTCCTCCCAGTGTGCAAATCTGTATCCAAATTTCCCCTTCTTATAAGGACACTGGTTTTATTAGATTTGAGGCCCACCCCACTCCAGTATGACCTCATTCTAACTTAAGTAATTAACACACGATTTCCAAATAGTCACATTCTGAGGTAGTGGGGGTTAGAACTTCAACATATGAATTTGGAAGGGGGTGGCGGGACACAGTTCAACACAGAACACCATCCCAAATCCTATGAGCCAAAGAAAACCGATGTTAACAAGTTATTACCAGGTCGTTTTGGAAAGTATGGCCAGAAATTCTTTTGCTACTCTGCTGATTGAGGTTGGGGTCTGTGTCCCCCTTTCTCTGAATCTGGGCAAGCTGGTGACTGCTCCGCTCAGTAATCCTAGTATTCAAGTCATGACAACCCAGGCACCAGGCAGGGCAATGAAAGAGCTTCCAGATGCTTCCAGCCCCCAGCTACCAAGTCATTGCCAGCTTGAGTCTTACTGAGCTGAGGTCTCAGACACCAGGGAATAAAGACAAACCCTCCCTCCTGTGCCCTGTTGAAATTCCAGATCCACAGAACCCTTGAGCACAATAAATGCATGTTGTTTGTGATGGTTAATTTTATGTCTAGACCACAAGATGCCTGAATAGATAAACCTTATTCTGGGTATGTCTGTAAAGGTGTTTGGATGAGATTAACACTGGAATCATAGACTGAGTAAAGCAGATTGCTTTCCCCAGTGTTCCTTCCCCAGTCCATTGCAGGCCAGAACAAAAGGCCTGGAAAGGTAGAACTTGCTCCCTCTGCCTGACTACTTGAGCTGGGACATCAGTCTTCTCCTGCCCTCAAATTGGGGCTTACACCATCAAGTGCCCCTGGTTCTCAGGCCATTCGACTCAGCCTGGAACTGTACCACCAGCTTTCCCGGGTCTCCGGCTTGCAGATGGCAGACTATGGGACTTCTCATCTTCCACAATCCATGAGCCAATTCCTCATAATAAATTCCCTATAATAAAGGTCTTATAATGTATGTATTTATACACTATTGGCTTTGTTTCTGAAGGTTCCAAATACATTGTTCAAGTCAGTAATTTCAGAGGTGGGCGGAGGGCTAATTACCCAGCAATAGTTATACTGTAATATTTCTAGTCAGAAATATTTTCTTATATTATTATAATTCTTAGTCTTTTTTCTGTGCCTTTAAAAATATTTCTCTTACTAAAGTGAGTCACTAACTTCTTAGATCAAAAGGAAATGATAATTTCTCTGATTCTGAGATTTACTTTAAAAAATATAAAAAACAGGTCAGCCTCACTTCTAAATATTTGCATTATATGAACATAATGAATATACTGAGTCCAGCCATAGGTAACACAGGGACATTCACAAGTCCCAGGTGGAGGACAGTATGAACTGAAGCTTTCTGACAACGTGGCTGCTTAGACCTTTTACTATTCCTTCCTAGTTAAAAGTCAGAGAAATCAGGTAACCATTGAAGTCTTAAAGATGCAGACAACAGCTGGGCACAGTGGCTCACGCCTGTAATCCCAGCACTTTGGGAGACTAAGGTGGAAGGATTACTTGAGTCCAGGATTTCAAGAGCAGACCCAGGGCAACAAAGCCAGACTGTCTCAAAAAAAAAAAAAAAAAAAGACATAGAAAACATGTGAAGCTCTTGGTGATGCTAATGATGAATACGATGCACTACACAGCTCTGGTTTTGAGGAAGAGGAAGTGTTTGGTTCTTCTCGGCATTGGCTCTCAACCATGTAAATAGTTTGGCCAATATTACAGACCCTGGAGCCAAATCAGTTTCATGTGGTCATCAATCATGACATTTCTTCTGAAACATGAGGTAAAGCATGTGATGCAAGAAATCCACTTTCCGGGAAATGACGGAGACCTTAAGAGGAGCAGCTCAAGGAGGTTCTTGCAGGCCAAACCACAGCCCGTGGCCACAGAACTGACCAGACCACATGGAGGCCAATCAAATACCTGTGTGTGGGTCCAGCATGAACAATGCTGGTCTTAAAGTGGATCATGATCTCCTCATTACTGAGATCTTCATTTTGACCACTCTTTTGAGTAGCAGATCTTTGAGATGTGTTAATGAAAGGACGGGAAGGTCTATGGTACCAGGCCTTGCAAATCTGAAAGTATATGCTGTTGCCTTGAAAGACAACAGACTTAGTTGGGCATGAGGTTGTTCCCAACATTTCCCCCTGAAAACTCTACTACGTGTGGTTTCATTGTCTTCTGATCTTGGGTGTTGCAAAAAATAAAAAAATTAAAAAATTTTAAAAAAAAGCCTATGGCCAGAGAGATTTTTGTTCCTGCATAGGAAACTTACTTTTTTCTATCTGAATGCTCATATGGTCTATTTCTTATATCTTTGTAATGTGAAAATGTTGTCATTCTTTTTTCTTGGAATGCAGTGGATTCTTTTTTTTTTTTTTTTTTTTTTTTTGAGATGGAGCCTCGCTCTGTTACCCAGGCTGGAGTGCAGTGGTGCAATCTCGGCTCACTGCAACCTCCACCTCCTGGGTTCGAGCAATTCTCTCCTGCCTCAGCCTCTCATGCAGCTGGGATTACAGGCACACGCCACCACACCTAGCTAATTTTTGTATTTTTAGTAGAGACAGGGTTTCTCCACGTTGGCCAGGCTGGTCTCAAACTCCTGACCTCAAGCAATCTGCCTGCCTCAGCCTCCCAAAGTGTTAGGATTACAGGCATGAGCCCCTGCGCCCAGCCCTGTGGTGGATTCTTTTGATCTTCATCTTCAAGTTCTTTTCAGCACAAGAAACACTTGTTTAATTAGGTCTTTGGTTGTTGCTTCTATTTTCCCATAGGAATACCTAAGATTCTTGCGTTGACTCATTCTTCCCTCCCCTAGATAGCTCTCATCTCCCACACTCGGCCAATATTTTTAATCCTTTTCTCTGCATTCTGGCAACATACGTTAGGTGGTTCTTCACATCCCTCATTTGACATTCAACAGCATTCTCTCTATGTGGATGTGAATGCTATTATTCATCTTTAATTGCTTTTTAATCACTTATCTCTTGATATTCCCTGCCTCATACTCTGATTCAGACACATTGAACTTCTCTCAATTCCTCAACATTCTAGGGTTTTGTTTTTGTATTTGCTTTTGGAGGCAGGGTCTCCCTCTGTTACCCAGGCTGGAGTGCAGCGACATAATCACAGCACACTGCAGCCTCTACCTCCCAGGTTCAATCGATCCTCTGGCCTCAGCCTCCCAAGCAGCTGGGACTACAGCTGCGTGTCACCACACTCAGCAAATTTTTGTATTTTTTTGTAAAGATGGGGTTTCACCATGTTGCCCAGTCTGGTCTCAAACTTCTGGGCTCAAGCAATTCTCCTGCCTTGGCCTCCCAAAGTGCTGGGATTACAGGCATGAGCCACTGGGCCTGGACAACATCTTGGGTTTTTTCTCACCTCTAGGGCTTCACACACGGCATTCTTTGGTCATAAACACTCTCCACCACCATGTCATTTCATTTGGCAAACTCCTACATCTTCATATGCTCTGAGCTCCAGCTTTCATGTAGGAAGCTTGCCACGACCGCCAAGGATGGCTCGGAGTCCTCGTGCTTCTATTGTGCCCTGCCAACCCTATTATCACACATTTCACACTGAATTGGAAATGCCAGTTCCCTTGTCTGGTACCTCACTAGATTCTGAGAGGACAAGAATCATGGCAATTTTATTCATCATTATATCCTCAGCCCCGAGCGCCATTGCTGGCATGTGGTAAGCATTAAAAAATATTTTTGCCTATAATATCAGTCTTTTTCAATCACATCCGTCTTTTTGCATCTTAAGAATTCTCTGCATGGCTTTATTCAAAGGTGGTACCAAACAGCATCTTTAGGGATACCAATGAGTTTCATTTTTAGAGCTCTGTCTTCCTCTGATTATTCAAATGTGTGTTCCCTTCCTCCTACTTGACAGCATTTTTTCGCAGATTTTATGTTTCTCCTCACCTCCTCCTCCAATGAATAGAACAGATCCAGACCTGGTGCCCACCAACAGACACACATCATATTGTCCTCGGCCTCACTTTCTATCTACCTGGGTGCCTGTCAATCTCCTCTTCAAGCTAAAAAACAGACTGCAATGTCCAGCTCCCAGCTCCCTCCCATTTCCAGCTACTGTGCTCCTCTAGACAGAAATGGGACATGCCCTGTCCTACTGCCATGGGTATTTAGTTAGAATTGGAAGAAATTCCAACTTCAGTCAATGCCACTTTAAACCAGGAGTCCCCAGCCCTGTCATTTTAAATGAATCCCAGGAACAATGACAGAATTTTGATAATTTTGGCAGGTGTTCTTAGAACACACTTTAGAAGTCTTATTTATGTCCTATATATTAGAGTTTCATCTTAAACCAGCCTTGTATAAAAAATTTTGTAATCCTGTTAATGTCTTTGTTTTCTGCCTCTATAATTAAGAACTTACCTTTGACGTTTGGAGCACTGACCCTGTTTCTCTGGAGTCTTTTCCTCCTGAATGGGCCACTCCCAGCTTTTTCTTGAATAAACTTTTTTTTTTTTTTTTTTTTTGAGACAGAGTCTCGCTCTGTCGCCCAGGCTGGAGTGCAATGGCGAGATCTGAGCTCACTGCAAGCTCTGCCTCCCGGGTGCACGCCATTCTCCTGCCTCAGCCTCCTGAGTAGCTAGGACTACAGGCACCCGCCACCATGCCTGGCTAATTTTTAAACTATTTAAAACTGGAAAAAAAATTAAAATAGAAAAATTAGCTGGGCATAGTGGCAACTACCTGTAGTATCAGCTATTCTGGAGGCTGAGGCCAGTGGATGGCTTGATCCCAGGAGGTTAAGACTGCAGTGAGTCATGATTTTGCATCACTACACTCCAGCCTGGGTGACAGAGTGAGACCCTGTCAGGAAGGGAAGGGAAGAAGAAGGGAAGGGAAGGGAAAAAGAAAGAGAGAGAAAAGAAAGAAAGAAAAGAAAGAAAGAGAGAGCGAGAGGGAGGGAAGGAAGGAAGGAAGGAGGGAAGGAAGGAAGGAAGGAAGGAGGGAAGGAAGGAAGGAAGGAAGGAAGGAA